>NC_000021.9:43929857-44083753 GCF_000001405.40 Homo sapiens | reverse complement strand
CTTACAGGATATCCTGTGTCAGAGAAAACTTTATGTTAGAGTGGGTGAGAAACACCAGTTTTGACACCCAGCCAGCCACAAAAGGAAAATAAGTTTGAGTGGGAAAGTGTACCACCTTCTTTGAAAGCTCATTTTAACAAATGAGGGTGTGTATTTTCATATGCAGGGGGGAAAGCTAACTGAATCCAATAATCCAATGAGTTAAAAAGCTAACTTAATCTAAGAACAAATATCTACGTTAAGAACTTCACTCAGAATTTATCAAATGTCAGAAAATTGTATAAAACACGAAAGAAAACATCAGTGTATTTTTGTATAAGGACAGAGACAAAAACAGGGTTAGGAGAACAAAGGACTCTACTCAATTCACAGCACACTCCAGACAGTTCTTGTAAGCTCCACGGCCCTGCTTTACAAACTTGAAAGTCAAGTTCCCACCCTGAACGCATACCTGAGTCCTGAATGTTATCTGGTTGGCCCCTGGTTCCAGGGTCACGTGGCTGCACCTCAGCACGTGGGCACCCTCCTCCAGAGCCACCCCTGAGGGCATCTCTAGAGAGGAGCTGCTCTCCTGCCTTCTCAGGAGCATGTGGACGTTTCTGCAGATAATCCCAGTCGTGTTCAAGGAGTTATCAGATGGGCTTCTCTCAAACATTTCATACAACTCCAGCGCGGGCAAACTGTTTTGGGATACAGGGAAAGGTGCGGTCTCGGGTGGAAAGTTAATGATCCCATTGGACGTCTTGTGCTTGGTAAGCCACTCCGCAGTCTTCCGGTAGCTGTTTTTCTCAATGCTGAAGTGGACATTGACCACAATCTGCTCCACGTGAACAGGCACAGGCATCTGGCTGTACATGGTTATCTCAACGCACAAAACGCCGCCCACGTGGACCACGGCATTGGAGGGATCAAAATGGAGATCTCGCAGTTGTGCAAAGGAATGCATGGGTAGCACTATCTTATGACCTGTAAATAGACATTATCGTAAGTGACTCCCCAAGTCACACTTCCTGACAGTAAGCAGCAGCAGGCCGCGGACACAGTAAGATCACCGAGAGCAGACTGAAGCAAGCAGCAGTGATGGGCACAGCAGCTGAGCCCAGCCTCCTGCCATCTTCACACCCCCCAAAGGCTATTGTATCAAAAGCAGAATATTAGCAAATACCTACGTAATGCCTAGAAATCATAAAATGTACAGAAATTAACCTTCTCAAGTCTGCTTTGACAAACCTAAGAGAAATACAGGTCAACTACCTCTCAATTTCAAACGACAATTTGTAAATAGTCCAATTTCTACAGCTATTTCCAAGGGATTCCAATATTTTCTCACCTACTTAAAAACATGCTCAGTGAAGATGCCCAAGTGCCCTGCTGTGATGTGGAAACAAACCCCAGGTGTCTGCCAGTCTACAAAGTCAGCCGATTAAGCAGGACCCCTCTGTGCCCCCAGGCCCAGGATGGCAGCAACCAGCCAGGTCTACAGTTGCTGCTGGAATGAGAGCCTAATGCTCTCTCTGGGCCCTTCTCTCTCTGACCGAACTGTAAGTACCTTGGTTTTGTCTAGAAAATACACAAGGCTGCAGAAGTGACCAGTTAAGTATTTATTAAATATTCATCAACGAAAGGACTTGCCAAGACTGATGCCATAGATCATGAGAAACAGTAAACGATTGTGGAATATTTTATTCGTATAGAGATACCAAGGAACGTTGGCAGGAACATCACAACTCAAATAGTCTCAAATACAAAGCAGCAGCAGATGTGGTCACGGCTCTACCAACAGTCAGCTTGGGCGCGTTAAAGACTCCACAGACTAACGTCATGATGCTCCCGAGAAACCCACCCACATGGATCTTTTGTTGTCCCCCTTTCTTTGAGACAGGGTCTCGCTCTGTCGCCCAGGCTATAGTATAGTGGCACCATCTTGGCTCACTACAGCCCAGTTCTCCTGGGCTCAAGCGATCCTCCTACCTCAGCCTCCTGGGTAGCTGGGACTACAGGTGCCCGCCACCACACCTGGCTAATTTTTTGTAGAGACAGGGTTTCGCCATGTTGCCCAGGCTGGTCTCAAACTCCTGACCTCAAGTGATCTGCCTGCCCCGGCCTCCCAGGGCAGGCAGAAGTTCCTAGAAGTTTCAGGGTCAGGTTGATGTGGTTATTGACTGCTGGGGTGTATTCACTTACAAGCATCTGGGGCCCAGCGTGGTGGCTCACGCCTGTAATCCCAGCACTTTGGGGATTACAGTATGGGGTTTCTTTTTAGGGTGATAAATATGTTTTAAAATTGACTGTGGTGGCCAGGCATGGTGGCTCACATCTGTAATTCCAGCACTTTGGGAGACCGAGGTGTGTAGATTCCTTGAGCTCAGGAGTTAAAGACCAGCCTGGGCAATATGGCAAAACCATCTCTACTAAAAATACAAAAATTAGCCAGGCATGGTGGTATGCTCCTGTAGTCCAAGCTACACAGGAGGTGGAGGTGGGAGGAGCAATTGAGCCCAAAAAGCAGAGGTTGCAGTGGGCTACAATCATGCCACTGCACTCCAACCTGGGAGACAGAGAAGAAAAAAAATAGCTGGGTGTGGTGGCCCACACCTGTGGTCCCTGCCACTCAGGAAGCCAAAGTAAGAGGATCTCTTGACTCCAGAAGGTTGAGGCTACAGTGAGCTGGGATCGTGCCACTGCACTCCAGCCCAGGCAAGAGAGCAAGATAGTCAAAAAAAAAAAAAAAAAAAAGAAAAAAAAAAAGAACAATAATATTGACTGTGGTAATGGTTGCACATATTCCTGAAACAGACTAAAAGCCATTGAATTATAAACTTCAAATGAGTGAATTACATGGTTTGTGAATATCACAATAATGCTGTTACATTTTAAAAAAAAAAAAAAGCACCATCTTAAAAAATGAAGAAAAAGACTGGGTGCGGTGGCTCACATCTGTAATCCCAGCCCTTTGGGAGGCTGAGGTGGGTGGATCACCTGAGGTCAGGAGTCTGAGACCAGCCTGGCCAACAGAGCAAAACACTGTCTCTACTAAAAATACAAAAAATTAGCAGGGCATGGTGGCGGGCGCACGTAACCCCAGCTACTTGGGAGGCTGAGGCAGGAGAATTGCTTGAACCCGGGAGACGGAGGTTGTGGTGAGCTGAGATGGCACCATTGCACTACAGCCTGGACAACAGAGCGAGACTCTGTCTCAAAAAAAAAAAAGAAGAAGAAGAAAAAGAGATGGGAAGAACTTTTTTTACATTAAAAGAGAACTGAGATCTAACAACCACATGTAATATGTGATATCCTGTTGGACTCCATTAAAAATGATTTATAAAATACTTTAAGACAATTAGGGAAATATGAATATGGCCTACTTAGCAGATGATATTAGAACCTTATTAATTCTTTGGGTGTGGTTAAGAGACTGTCCTTATTTTTAGAAGATCTAATGTGGTCTAGAGTTTGACTTAAAGCAAAAATAAAAAAAAAAGTCAGGTGAAAGACATAGATACATGTCAGCTACACAGCAAAATGTTAGCAACTGTTTACTGTAAGTGGTTGGTATATCTTGTATTCTTTTTTACTTCTGTAATATTTGAAAATATTCCTAGTCAAGTTGTAAGAACTGGTCTTACCTGGGCTGTCTGACGGCTGGCTGGCAAAGTCAAGTATCTCCTGGCAGAAGTGCTTGCGCTCCTCTTCAGTGAGGTGGTGGTCACTGGCTAAGAGGCTGCTGGTCTGCAGGTAGCTGGAGCGGAGAGGTAAGGAGCGTGGAGAGGCTCATACTTAGGAGTGCGGGGGGAAGTGGATGCAAAGTCTCCTACGGCCTTCACAGAGGCTTCAAAAGCCAAAGGGCTTTTTTTTTTTAAGTTACTAGGGCTCAAAATTAGATTATAAAAAATCGACTAGACATTTCATTCATTTTCTATACAATACATATGTATAAGTTAGGACTTTTCTCTCCTTAATAATAGGTGTGAATGAAACATTGATTGTGGGCAATGTTGCCGTATAAACAGAAAATAATTTTCCTGCTTCATGAAAACATTAAAGGATACTTTTCAATTTGTCCAAGGTGCTTTTGACATTCGGCCAGCTGCTTCCTTGTGTGTGTGATGGGGAGTGCCCAGCCCTCAGCCAGGTAGTTTTTCAGTGCTCCTTGAAGATAGATTTCTGCCTTTTGTGGAGCCTTTTTCCTCCTTGCAAAGTCAACAAACAGTAGCTTTCATTACAGCTAGGGATAATCAACACACTGAAACCCCATCTCTCCCGCTTTGGCCTCCATCCTCCAGACCCCATGCCAGGACAGACTCAACATCTCTAGATAGCCCTTTTCCACCCACCCCACTCCGTGAGAAAGAGTACCTACTCAGGACGACATAATTAGACTCCCAGGCAAAGATCTGAGAAATGAGCGTGTGGTGATAAGAGCACAACACATCGTTGGTCTGGCTTTATACACATGTCGAGGAACTTTCATAGCTGAATCTCAGGATAAGAAAGTGAGCCTATCATTCATGATCTCAAGCTGACAGGCAAGAGGGCCAAGGCTAAGAGAAGGTGAAGGAAGGGCTTGTCCACAAGTACACTGCTAGTCAGCAATGAAGCCAGGAAGTCCAAGTATGGGTCTACACTACCTACTAAAGGCACAGAAACACAGAAGCAGTCTACAGGGCGCAAGCGGAAGGGAGCACAGAGCCACTTGGAAACTCAGGCAAAGAGCACTCCACAGGATCCAGCTTCCAGAGAACGCCGGAGAATTAAAATAGCCACACTTGGCCCCCAAAGCAAAGTTTAAAGCACAACTGTTTTTTTTAAAGATGGGGTCTTGCTCTGTCACTCAGGCTGGAATACAGTGGTGTGATCATAGCTCACTGCAGTCTCAAACTCCTCAGCTCAAGTGATCCTCCCGCCTCAGCCTCCTCCACTGTAGCTGGGACTACTGGTGTGTGCGGCCTTGCCTGCCTTTAAAATGCAAATTAATAAGGGCTTGTCAAAGCCTCAGGAGCAACAAGGATCCCCTCCCCTTTCCCGAGAAGCCTCTCTGCTTCCTTAAGGAGCACCTTCCTCTTCAGATACACAGCATGGAAGTTCAAGAGAGCTACATTCTAGCTGTGACTCTGCTGTTAACCAGTGGGTAATCGGCAAAGCTGCTCCAACCACATCCGGAAAACCAGAAAGTTCACTTAGCTGATCTAAGAATCCCTTTCCAGCCAATTCACATCAGTTCAAATCAATTCTCATTTCTTGCTTCACCTAATGAAATCACTTGAGTACAGATTTCAAGATCTCATTTCAATCACTTTTTTTTTTTTTTTTTTTAGAAAATGAAAACAAGCATCTTTTTCCTTATAGCTTGTATCTCCTTTGAGTACTCTGAAATGGTAACCACATGACCCACTGGGGTTTCTTCTCTTTGATAGTCTGATTTTATGAAACACACCAGAAATACGCTAAATTTTGAGTTTTTCTGGAATCAAACTTCAAAGCTGGAGCTGGAATGGAAACCCTGCAGTCTTTGTACACACCTTCTTCCAGTCATCCCTAGATCATCCCTCTTTCATGAACCTGACACATGCAGTAGCTTTACATCAATGGCCTTGAGGTTTTTCAGTCCTCTTAATACTTGATAAAATTAGAGAAATGCTATATAACAAAATATGTAAGAATCTATATGCCAATTTACTCACCATTATACTGTCTTATAATTCTTTAATTAAACTTAGTTACAAAAATGTATATATTTAATTAAATAAAAGAACCTCAAAGACCAATAACAGTTATTAAGAGTAACAAGCAGAAAATCTCTCCATCTGGTTTTCAGAAGAAACTGAAAAAAAAATTATGAGGACTGGGTAAGAGAATCTACACTTTTCAGTCTACAAATTTATGTGCACTTTATACTAACTCCATATATAACAAATCTTCTCGTGTTATTTGTATGTTTAGAATTCAAAGAAAAGTACAAAATCAATTACATGTAAAACTCTGCCAGATCTTTTCCAACAAACTTAGCAGATCGAATCCTCCCAATGCTTGTATACATTTCAATGGTGGCATGGGACAAATCCTGTGGGGAAGTAAAAACACAATTATGTACTTGAACTTTTAATGATGGACAAATACTACATTTATTCACCTAAAGCTCACACAAAAGACATTGTTGGGTTTTTGTTTTGAGACAGAGTCTTGCTCCATCGCCCAGGCTGGAGCACAGCGGTGAGATCTCAGCTCACTGCAACCTCCGCCTCATAGGTTGAAGTGATTCTTGTGCCTCAGCTTCCCAAGTAGCTGGGACTACAGGCGCCACCAGGCCCGGCTAATTTTTTGTATCTTTAGCAGAGACAGGATTTCACCATGTTGGCTAGGCTGGTCTCAAACTCCTGACCTCAAGTGATCCACCTGCCTCAGCCTCCCAAAGTGCTGAATTACAGGCGTGAGCCACCATGCCCAGCCCGCAGAAGACATTGCTAATAATGTAACATTATTTTTTCCTTTGCATCTATTTTTGTGAATTTTTCTGTAATATATAAGCAAAATTGGTAACCTGTGTATAAATTATGAAGCATAATAATAAAAGAAACCCACAAACTCATCCAAAACATCTAACTTTTCCAAGGACTTTCTGCACGTGGGTGACATGCTGGGTATTTTTCATACTTGTGTGTATAAGAGGTACAGCCATTACGGGCAGACCAAACGCTCAAGTTGCCCATGACCCGGGAATGACGCTGACCCACCACACTTCTGCCTACGCCGTTTTTTAAAGTTTTGCTAATTTAAGTCTTTCAAAATCAAATACAATAGCTCTGCCCAAGTCCAAATTACTCCTTTTTACAAAGAAAAGTATTCACTAGCCTCTCTTATAATTTCTGTGTGAGCAAACCCAATTTGAACAAAACGGTAAATATTCAAAGATGATTCCATGCCTAGCATGGTACCATGGGCACTAATACACATTTGATGAACTACTCCATGTTTTGTCCACAACTCCCCAGGTACCAAAGAAACTAAAAAAAACCAACAAGAAGGGGCCCCCCACACCAGTTCCTTCCCAACTCAACAGGCCATGTAGCAAAGCCTTCTAGAGACAGGTATTCACAGAACAGACATTGAACACTTGTTAATACTTACTAAGTAGTGTTTTTCAAAAGCTTCCACTGACGATAATGCTTCTTTCAGTTTCTTATAAGGACTCTGAGCTGTGTTGGCTTAAACAGAAAGAAACGAGAGTCCCTCTTCATCTTCATCATGTCCAGTCACATGACTTTACATTCACCTTCACATACTGCAGGTAGATGACCTCATCTGACTCTTGTGAAATTACAAACCGGCCAATGCCAACGGAAACTACATGATTATGTACATTCTCTTTCAATTCACATATTCATAAAATAGTCAAAACGCTTTGTGTCATGCTTTTTCTCTGATCTTTAGAACTAAACTTTTTTAGAAACATATATTACAAATACTCCGATGAATTAAATTACTTCCGAAGTGATCTGAAATGGTCTCAAGTTGAAACAATGAAATATAAATACTACGTATTTTTTCCCTTAAACATTTATTCAATTTACTAAGAATGTTTTCAGCTCATCAGATATTCTTTAGCAACAGTCTTGCTAAATAATACTCATCATATATTCCTACGTAAAACAATGAGTAATCCTCCTTTCAAAGAGCCTTATTATCCAGGAGAATTTTTTTTTTTTTTTGACAGAGTTTTGCTCTTGTTGCCCAGGCTGGAGTGCAATGGAGCAATCTTTGTTCACCACAACCTCCACCTCCCAGGTTCAAGCGATTCTCCTGCCTCAGCCTCCCGAATAGCTGGGATTACAGGCATGCACCACCACACCCGGCTAATTTTGTATTTTTAGTAGAGATGGGGTTTCTCCATGTTGGTCAGGCTGGTCTCGAATTCCTGACCTCAGGTGATCCGCCCACCTCGGCCTCCCAAAGTGCTGGGATTACAGGTGGGAGCCACCGTGCCCAGCCAATTTATTTTAAAAAATTTGCTGGGAGGCCAGGGCAGGAGGATCACTTTAGGCCAGGAGTTTGAGACCAGCCTGGGCAATACAGCGAGACTCCATCTCTACAAAAAATTAAAAAATTAGCCAAGTATGGTAGCACACACCTGTAGTCCCAGCTACCTGGGAGGGTGAGGCAAGAGGATCCCTTGAGCCCAGGAGGTCGAGGCTGCAGTGAGCCAAGATTGTGCCACTACACTCCAGTCTGGGCAACAGAGTGAGACCCTGTCTCTTAAAAAAAAAAAAAATCGTCAGGTCGTATTGTTAGAAAAACAGATCATCTGTAATTCAGAGAGACAGTGGTGCATTTGAACATGAGCTATAAAGTCCCTTAAGCCCAGGAGAAACTCAGCTACATTTCTGAAACTCCTTCCAATTTCTTCAACTATTTCTAATATTGCATTATGCTGTTAAAAGGTAAACTATCATGTGCTTTAATCCAGTCAGCTAACAATGGGTATAATTTTCCAAATGGTGAGTAATATGATTACTCTTAGAACTTCGGTTAAATGTGCCAACTTGCAAAGGACATTTTCATTACTGTCCACCTCACCACTCACACAGGTATATACAAAAAAGTACCTGTTTCTGGTCGCTCAGCTCCCAAACCTGCCAAAAGGTCAACTGTCCTGTTGAGATCTTCTGAGTTAGGTCCTTTCTCTGACACAAGTCCACATAGATAGCCCAAGGACTTTAACTGTTAAGATAAATCCACAATTTCAATTAATTTGCCGTAAGAGTCAGCAGGGAATTCAAGAATTTAAATATAAAAATTCAAATCCAGCTAAATTCTAGAAGAAATTTAGCTTTCCTACCCAATGACTCAAATCTGGATACAAAAATACATCCTACACAACAGCTCCCAGTGAGGCTTGGAGGGTGGGAATCCTCCGCTTCTGTCCTTCACCTCCCTGAGTTCCCCAGGCTACGCCTGCACCTGCATAAGCCCAGCCTACCTGCTGCACACACCAGCACAGCTCTGCCTGGTGAGCTGACATTTCAGCACCACCCTCGTGTCCCCCGACTCAGGGTACAGAGTCAATTTCACAGGAGCACAGCAAGTGCTTGCTGTCTGCTGACTACATCGACATGTGGTAGGGAACTATGACTTCTTTGGCTGCACCCAGACACCTTCTAGGGCCACTAAAGTGGATGCATCGTGATCTAAATGAGCAACACCTCTCCTCCAAACAGCAGACTTCCTCCGCCACCCAGGCATGGCCGCAGAGACAACGTGAGCATTCCACACTTGGGCAGGTAGGCACCTTTTCTGTGGCATAGCTCCATAGCCCCACAGTGTGGGCAATGTTTGAGTCGATCTGTGCCCGGTCACAGCAGCCTTCTATCCTCTGCAACACCTCCAGACAGCTCAGAAACACCCAGCAGTCCAGAGCACCAGGTGGGACAGAGACCTGTGGGGGTGCAAATGCGAACGTGTGAGGGGTGCTCCGGGACAGCTCTAGCTTGAACAAACCCACATGCTCTAGCTTGAACGTGCAAAACCCTCCATCCTTCAAGCAGCCACCTCATCTAACAGTTCTGTGATATGCAGAGCTACAGGAGAGAGAAAGGGGCAAAGAACACTAATCACCTACATTCACATGGGAAGAGAGAAGCAGTGTGACCTATATTCAAATGTGTTATCAGGTTTTATGTATAACTTTCAATTATTGTATTTTTGAAAACCTTATTAAGAAAAAGCCTCTGCAGGTCTAGATCTGAAAAATATATATAGAAAAAGAATTTTTTTTTAAAAAAAGGAAAAACCTAGAAAAAGACCAAATATGATCATTTACTCCAAGAGTGAGGATTGGCCACAGATTAGTGTCAAGAGGGGAGGGAAAACTAAGACCTCAAATGACTGCTTGGTCACATTTAAGAAAGATCACGTTCAACAGCAGAAACTGAATACCGAGTAGAAATATCACACGAGGAATTACAGTTCACTCTTCAGGCGTGATAAAGACAGTATATTTATGTTTGGGAAAAAGAGCTCCCTATTGCTCCCTATACACTGCAGTATTTACAGGTGAAACCCAATGTCTGTATTTGAAAAACGTCCCAGGGCAAGTGAACGAGGATGCAGATGAAGTAGAGGCTGGCCAGGTACCGCGCCTACTGTAACTGTTCATGGGTCCTACATGGGAATTATGTTATCCTCTCTGCTTCTGTATTTACTTGAGCCTTTCCACTTAAAAAACAAAAAAAAGAAAACACTATCAGAAAAGCAAAATCGCCTGCTGTATAAGATGCAGTTTTCCCCCACATTTTAGCACTTCTGAAATAGGAATGTTTCTCTTAATCAAGTGGCATCTTACACTTTTAAGTGGCAATGCTGACTTTTTCTCTGGTGGCACTGACTTCATGATGTGTCCTAGTTTTGGTGAAATGTGTTCACCTGTGCTCTTCAAATCACCAGTCAACAGGTGATGAGCTGCCAATGCCGGGGAAACTGACTCCCATAAGAACTCTTGCAAGGCACCCTGAGCACAAATAAAGGACCTGGAACCAACAAGGAAGAACCAAAGAGTGCCATCAAATGTTCCCATAAAAGCTAAAAAGCCCAACTTCTGAAAAATAAGATAAGCTACTTAAACCTTTTGGGAAAAAAAAATCAGTGTAGGTCAAAAACTGCATAATCGGAAGCCACTTTCATAAAGCTGCACAACTCTCTCACCCAAACATACCACACTGAGGGAAGGCACAGAAAAGCGGGGCAGCAGGAAGCAGCTCTGAGATCCTGGACAGAGCGTGTCCCTCCGATTGATGAGCGTCCTCATCAGTCAAACCACAGCAGGCCTGGAGCGGGCTGACCGCACCTTGCAGGCCCGCCTGGTTCCCAGGTGCCAGGAGATCTGGGATACTTTTCATCTCCCAAGACGCTACCACCATCAGTACCCACTGCGCAAAAGCTTCTGTAAACAGGCACCTCCCCTGGGCACACACTGGTGACAGAAAGACCTCCTAGGAGAGGCCGGGCGCGGTGGCTCACGCCTGTAATCTCAGCACGTTGGGAGGCCGAGGTGGGCAGATCACCTGAGGTCAGGAGTTTGAGACCAGCCTGACCAATATGATGAAACCCCATCTCTACTAAAAATACAAAAATTAGCCGGGTGTGGTGGCATGCACCTGTAATCCCAGCTACTCGAGAGGCTTAGACAGGAGAATCATTTGAACCCGGGAGGCGGAGGTTGCGGTGAGCCAAGATCATGCCATTGCACTCCAGCCTGGGCAACAATAGCGAAACACAAAACAAACAAACAAACAAACACCTCCTAGGAGACCACGAGAGACTCTTACAAAGCAGGAAGACGTACAGTGCTTTTGGTAAAGATGCATCCACAGAGAAGGGAGATAAAGCCCAGGAGCCACAGCAGCGGAGCCGCGGCAGAGGACGCTGGATGCAGAAGCAAGAGCAGCCAGGGCACGAGGGCCGCTCCGCGACCAGGCGCTGAACTGAGTCCGCAGGGAACAGCAGCAGCCGAGAGCTGAGGCGCCACCTGACAGCACAGGTGCACCCCAGAAAGGCTCCCAAATGATACCACCAAAATGCCAACAGTGGCATTAATTACTGCATGGCATGATTATAGAATAGTTCTTTGTATATTTTTTTCCTGCAAAGAGCAAGTCCCGCTTTGGTAAGCTTGAACGACAGTATTAAAAAAGTAGCAGCATCAGGTAGCGGCAGCTTTTCTGGGGTACAAACAACAAAATCCAGTGGCACCCATTGGCCACTGGCTGCTGAGACTTCACCTTCAACTTCCATCCTGAAGGAGGTGGGAGAGAGCAGGCAGGTCCTGCACACACCCACGCCAAGGAACAAGGGCAGGCTTTCACTGAATAACAGAAACCTGAAGGTGAGCTCGGCCACCCCTCCCTCTGGAACTCACACCTCCCAAAGTGCAAAGCCTCCCCCGGGCCTGCTCTGGTCTCCGCT
This sequence comes from Homo sapiens, assembly GCF_000001405.40. NCBI lineage: Eukaryota > Metazoa > Chordata > Mammalia > Primates > Hominidae > Homo > Homo sapiens. The sequence continues at coordinate 44,071,798 of NC_000021.9, read as the reverse complement.
GCGAGTTCTCACCGGCTCCATGCTCTAAGTGCCTTTATTTCCCAGGAGAATCACAGCTCCCTGTATTTCCTATCACAGATCATTTTAAAATTTCAGTTTTTATGGGGAAAAAAAGACATGCATGTGAATTTGGCATATGATGTGGCATACACAACCCTTTCTGCAGTGCCGCCTTGCAGAGCCGCCTGCCTCGTATGTTACTACTTACTGTGTGTGTCTCTTAGCTCCCACCCAAACCCCAGGTAACACCCCAAAGGGGGCCGAGCACTCTGCTTCTTCTCTATACTTTAGAGGGCCTGAAAGAGGTGGGCTCCACAGCAGCGAGACCTTCCACAGTAAGACATCTAAGACTTCCAGACATGTTAACGAAACAAATTTATTTAAAACCTAATTGCAGTGATACTTTTTCATTGCTTTGAAAAAACAAGTGGCAAAATGCATACAACAAGGTATGTGAAGGGCACAAACCCTAAATTTAGAGGTCGATGATTTTTACAAATGTAACCACCACCTAATCAAGAAATAAAATTATCCTAGAAGGTTCTCTCAAGTCCCTTTTCCCGGTCAAGATCCACCCCAAAGAGGCACCCGGCTCCTGACTTCGGCCACCATCAATTCCTTCTGGCTGATTTGTGAACTTCATATAATGAAATCACACAGCATGTCCTCCTTTGTGCATGGGGCTTCTTTAATTCCACACAGTATCTTTAAGATTCAACCTTGCTGAGTCTGTCGGCCTGTTCTTTTTCACTGCTGCTTATTAAACCTTTCTACAAGTTGGCCACAGTTTATTTATCCACTCCTATCAAGTGTCTGGGTTGTTTCCAGTGTTTGGCTACTATGGGTAAAGCTATTTGCAATGTTACCCCTGCCTCAACGGAGGGATGACTTCTCAGGGTCCGAAGACGCCCCCAGGCCCAAGTGCGCCAGGCTACTCACAGCAGAACACAGGCAGTGCCAGCACTCTTCTCCCACCAGCATCCCTGCAGCAGAGACGCAAGAGCTCGGGGGAAGGGGACAGAGAGTGCCAGAGCCACCCTGGCTTATTTTACCCATTAGAGTGCAGCTTGAGAATAAAAAACAAGAGTCTCACAAACTCTGGAAAAGAGCAATTGTTCTGCAGCCATGGCTTCATGGCTTTGAGTCGTCCAAACAAATGTCAGCCCCTTGCTCCTAAATGGTGGCCGACACAGAAAATGGGCACCTCAGCCAACAGCACGAAGGCCATGCCTCTATGGTGGCATCTGCCACCCAGCATGCCACAGCACCCAACACAACAAAGACCAAGCCTCCGCTCTGCCCTGAGAGCCTGAGACTGAATGGCAGAGCGTGCAGCTTGGTCACCTCACTCTGGAACCGGGTGGTGGCCTCACCGTCTCCAGAAAACTCACATTTCCCTAATGGGCCATCAGATACCTCTTGGCCATCTGGATATCATCTTTTGTGAATAACAGACTTCTTAAACAAATTCTTAATTTATATTAATTTTCCTTAAAGTCCCTCCTCCTCTCCTGATTGCTGTATTAGCAATGGCAAGTGCCATCTTGCCACTTCCAAGTATAAAATTAAAGGCATTCTTGTTCTTCTCTCTTTTGATACCCCTACCACTTGAGTGCAACCCACACACTGGAAGGTACATGAGTCCTAGGTGAACGCCTGCTATGCCTCCCGTGAAGGCAGCTCCCGCTGGAACTCCCTGCCAGTCACCAGCCCCTCCACCTGCCAGAGAGCTCACAGCAGACTGGTGTAGCTTCACCGTGAACTTCAGACACAAGGAATCAAAAAGTATGCCCTCTCTTATCGCTTCAACCCGGGAGGCAGAGGTTGCAGTGAGCCAAGATCACGCCACTGCACTCCAGCCTGGGAAACAGAGCAAGACTCCATCTCAGAAAAAAAAAAAAAGTATGCCTTCTCTTGTGTCTAACTTCTTTAGCTCAACTTCAGGTTGGTTAGAGTCATCCACTACGACCCATTCACGTTCATCACTGTACCCTAGCACACTACAGGGCCACGGTGCAACGTTGTCATCCCTTGGACAAGATGAACATTTGAGTTCTTCCCCGTTTGCAGCTCCAATGACTCACGGGTGCCACAGGTATCTCTGTGTACTTGCCTTCTGATGCATGTGTGTGTGCATGTATCTGTACACACCAGGGGTGGATGTGCTGGGTCACGGGGCATGTGTTGTAATGGCGATACCCATTAGATATCGCAAACAGCCTTCCAAAGTGGTCCCAGTGATGCACACTACCATCAGTGAATGAGCGCCAGCATCTCCACCCTCCCACTGATACCCGAGGAAAGCCTTTCCATCCTGGCCATTCTGGTGGTGTGTGCTGGTACTTCATTAATAATGGCTTCAGTTTGCATTTTGCTATGATTCATGAGACTGAGCCCCTTTTCATGTTTATCGGCCATTTGGATTTCCTCTCTTGCCTGTTTTTCTACTGGTTTGTCAGTCTTTCTGCATTGATGTATGTGAGTTCTTCACAGTACGCCCTGGAGTAAGGGCCCTTTCTTGTCTATATATACTGGTTGTACTCTTCCAAGCTGCGGAGGGCCTTTTCACTCCCTTCAGAGTACCTTTCAGTGAAGAGAAGCACTGATGTTTACGTAGTCTAATGCAGGACCCTCTTCCTTCACGGCTGGTGCATAACCATAAAGGTTTCATGTCCTATTTAAGGAATATTTGCCAACCTTAAGGTCCCAAAGACATTTTCCCAAGTTATCTTCAAGAGTTTTCTTATTTTATTTTTCATGTTTAGATCAAAACTCCACCTGGAATTAATTTTGTTTATGGGGTGAGATCAAGATTTGTTTTTATATATGGATATCCAGTGGACCCAGAACCATCAATTCACTAAATTTTTCTTGAACCTATTTATTTAAAATCTGCCGGCTGGGTGCAATAGCTCACGCCTGTAATCCTGGCACTTCGGGAGGCTGAGGAGGGTAGATCACTTGCGCTCAGGAGTTCAAGACCAGCCTGGGCAACATAGTGAAACCCCATCTCTGCCAAAAAATACAAAAATTAGCCGGGCATGGTGGTGCGCACCTGTAATCCTGGCTACTTGACTGGCTGAGGCAGGAGAATTGCCTGAACCCTGGAGGCGGAGGCTACAATGAGCCAAGATCACACCACTGTACTCCAGCCTGGGCAACAGAGTGTTTCAAATAATAATAATAAAAAATAAAATCTACCTCAACTGCCTTTTGGAACTCCGTCTTTTCCCTTGGACTATGGCAGAAGTTTCCAAACTCTTCACCTCTCTCTGCCTCTCTCTGCCCTCTGCCTCACTAGGTCCTAACCTTTCATGGCTCCCTACTGGCTACAGAACAAAGGGCAAGCTTCAACGTGACACACAAAGAACTTCAGAATTTCCCTTCATTGCCCCCAAAGCCTGCCTCACCCCTGAAGTTCTAGCAAGACCAGGCTCCTCCAGAGCACCTTCAATAACACCATCTTCTCCACCTGAAACGCACTCTCCCGCGCCACCAGCAGTCACATCTACCTGGTGAGTTCTTACTCCCCCTACTCATTCCTTAGCACGTAAGCTTCATAAGGCCAGGAATTCTATTTCACTCTCTGCTGAAAATACAGTGCCTACCACAATGGTTGGCACAAAACAGAAGCTCAATGAAGATCTGATAAGTGAATGAGTCCTTTTTTTTTTTTTTTTGAGACGGAGTCTCACTCTTTTGCCCAGTTGGAGTGCAGTGGCATGATCTCGGCTCACTGCAACCTCTGCCTCCCAGGTTCAAGCAATTCTCCCGCCCCAGCCTCCCGAGTAGCTGGGATTACAGGCGCCTGCCATCACGCCCAGCTAATTTTTGTATTTTTAGTAGAGACAGGGTTTCACCATATTGGCCAGGCTGGTCTGGAACTCCTGACCTCATGATCCGCCCACCTCGACCTCCCAAAGTGCCAGGATTACAGGCTTGAGCCACTGTGCCCAGCCTGAATGAATCTTTTTAATGGAGTTCACATAGGGCCTCCTCTAGAAAGCTTCCCTAGCACCTATCAGGCACCTGCAAATGTTTACCAAGCTGACCTGAGGCATCCGGCAAAGCTGCCTTTCCCTCCCTTACAGTCCCCTGTGTGCAGACAACACTTCGTCACTACTTGGACACTGTGCTGATGACCCGTGGCACCTCATGCCGGTAGGTGGGGCCCTTTCCTCTTCATTTATGTGCACCCCCATCCCTGTCTCCCACAGTGCCTGGCAGGCAAGGAAACGTTTCTTGAATGATTCTTGACAGTCCTCTCTTTCCTTTTGTCCAGTGAGCCATCAGTTCTTCTTCAGCAACAGCTCTCACAACCACCCCTCCTCCTTCAATCCAGCTCCTCCCCCTCATGGCTCATGGGTGCACAAGATCCTCCACCTACACATGAGAGCACCCACCCAGCAGGGTGTCGGGTACACTGTAAGCCCTCAGCAAACACAATCTACATTCCCACACTACATCTCTGCCTTTGTCCTCTGCCAGGCCTGCACCTCAGAATACCGATCCCAGCTGGCCAGCTTTGACTGTAAACCTTCTTCTTCCTCTGGTTCAACCTGCAGGTTGGCCACACACAGCCTCTGTTCACAAACCGGCCAGCTAACTCCGACGGCGTCCCATGCACGGTTCCTCCGTGCCACAGGCTAGGCTGGTGACTCCCCTGGGGTCTGGAGGAGTCCTGACCCTGCTAGGCCCACACGGTCTGTTACATAACCAGCAGCTAAGGTGATAAAAGGTCAAACGCTGAATGAAACACATTCCAAACCCCCCCAAAAAATCACTTGGGCAATCATTGTAACAAACACATTATGGCCTTCAAGAAAGTATCTTCCCCGTTCTTCTAATTTGGCGACAAAATATATAAGTATCATACTTTTTTCTTACCAAAGGTGCAGGAAAACAGGCATCACTAGCATGACTGAAAATGGGAAGACCTTTCTGGAGGACAAATTAACAACATATAGCTTTAAAAACATGTCTATCTTCGACCTTCCAATTCTACTTGTATGAATTTACACACAAAGATGTATGTATAAGGATACAAACTGCTGCAATTGCAAAGAATTTTGAAGAATTCAAATGTCCAAATAGGAGCAAGGAAATAACTGCAGTTCATCTATACATAAGAAGGCCATGGACAAAAAAAGGGAACCTCTTCCTGCTAGCAAAAGCAACGACATTTTCTTCGTATATTTGTCTGTTATTTTCCAAATTTACATAAAGAAAACATTCAACTTTTGTAAATGGAGGGAAAATTAGAAATTGTTACAGAAAAAAAAAGGAAATACTCTGTCAAGGAGGATCCTGAACTCACGCAGAACTGGCCTCACTTCACGGGTGTTACCGCTCACCCCAGCAGCCAGCTGTGCAAGGTAGGCACAATCTCCATTCTTAACACATTTTCCATTAAGGGAGTGCGCAAGGCTAGTAAGCAGCACCCACAGGGCAGAGGCCTCTATCCGGCCGTCTTGCTCCCCTCCTCAGCCCCCGTCGCCCCTGGAGTGTGGATCAAGCCCTACTACAGAGCAGGGCTAGTTTCCATCACAGCTGGCCACTTCGTTGCCTCCTATTCTCTTTAAATAAATGAGGTACTTCAAATCAACTGGTAAAGCAACCAGGATGTTAGCAGGACATGTTTTATAAGCCACCCACTCGAAAGTGGGACAGTGGGATCTGCAACTGACAGTGGCACACCTACCCCCTGGCCTCTGCTCAACTGTAGCCCTAAAACCTGACTCTCACCAAAAAATCCTAACAACTAGACTGGAGTAAAAACTACTGCACAAGAGAGAAAAACACAGCCACGGGCAGCTCAGACCTGTAATCCCAGCACTTTGGGAGGGGAGCAGGGAAGATCACTTGAGCCCGGAAGTTCCAGACCAGCCTGGGCGACACAGTGAGACACTCATCTCTACCAAAAAATTTAAAAATTTAGAAAAAAGGAGAGAAAGAGAAACACTTCTGACGTGAAGTTACCAGCGAAGCCCTCTAAGTAAACAGTGTGAATCTCAGTGTTGATCAAACACAGGTGCAAAGTGTGCAAAGAGGATTGTGTGGGCTTCAACACAAGCGACAAGGGAGGCTGTCCTCTCTGGCCTGGGAAGCCGACAGGCACAGCGCATGTAAGGAGGCGCAGCCAGCTGTGTGCATCAGAAGATGACGAAACAGGAAGCGGGTTCTTAGAAGGAAAGAGACTGACAGACTGTGAGAAAGTCATCAGTGGGTGACACGTCCTTGCCTCAAATCCAGCATTCACCTTTGGCCACCTCCTCTCACTGGAGATGCAGAACTCAACCGTGCAAAGAGGTGCAATAGCTATGACTAAAAGCAATGGGGCAGCTTCCACTCAAGGAAAGGCCAAGGGGACAACAACTTCATTCAGCAAAGCAAAGGGCTCGGAAAATACACCACGGATAAGAGGCTCCTCACACGATACAAAGCCTTGAAAATACCTGTGACTTCCCGGCCCTGCAGACGAGCACCTAGAGGAGCCAACAGACCCCGTATGGCTCCTGTGAACCCCGACGCTACAAGGGAACTCCAGAGCCCACACCCTCTATTACTTACACATTTCTCCTTCCAGCCACAAGGTAATAACAAAACTAACAGCCCTCTCCAATCAGCCTCCTGGGGTCGTCTCACTCAGAAGACATCATGTCTGAATCATTTGGACTTGAATACTTCAATTTTCCCCCCTCCCGGCTAGTAAGACAAAAATCTCAACATCAGGTGAAATCCCTAGGTACACATGAACAGAGAGCCCGGCTCTAGGAGTGAATGGTTCCCTCACAGCCCCGTCCCCAACCTGCAGTTAGGGCTGAGCAACCCAGGCAGAGTCTCTAAATCCAGGTGATTACAGGCAGCCCAGAGGGTCATTTCGAGGTGGAAAATGTTTCTTTTCCTCATTTGCTTCATTAGGTGAAGAAAAATCATTTGATAAAAATTCTTAAGTTTCTGAGTTTGTGACTTGGGCTAGGTACTAATGAGCTTAGCTCTGAAATAAGAACTTCTCCTTTTGAAATTAACTAAAATATATTTCTCTTCATTAATTAAAGTTTAAATCTCTTAAAATTATTTTAAACCAAGCACACAAAAATAAGTTCCTATATTATGAAACACCGTCCCCATCAATGGCTTATACTCTTCAGACCTAATCACTTCCAGACTCCGTTTTCTTGTTTACAAAACAGCATCAGAGACCACTCACTCAGGAGATCTTAACCAGGGGATGGGTGGCAGGGATGTACACAAATCCTCAGGTCGTAAGTATCATTTTGTGTGTGTGTGAATTGTTTTGGGTAAAGAGGACCCTGAAACAAGAATCACCAGACTAGATACGGTCTCTACAGTCCTTTCATCTCACTACAATGTCCGTGGTTCTATGGACAGTAAGAGTTCAGTGCTTGGGTGAATTTATCTCTAAGGGCAAATGTTTTACTAACTACATTCTCACACTCACACACACACACACACACACACACACACACACACATATTTATGACATATCTTCCATGAAGCTCCGTACTACTAATCAATGGGGCACAGCCTGCTGTGTGTCACTCACATTGCTACCTGCATGGCCATGTGCAAAACTATTTATCTGAAAAGACAAATAAATAAATGTCTACATGACATAAGTGTCTGAAATAAAATAAATGTCTACATGCAAAATCTAGCTCTGCGTGTCCCTCAGGTGAGTGACTCTTCCCCGTGGAGACAGCTCACGCAGCAGCACAGGCCGCAGTCAGCCAGTGAGCTTCACTGAGAAGCTCATCTAAGAGGCTTGCTCTGGACCGGCACAAACTCCAGCATGTTGAGAACAGAGTTCTATTTTTGAGCAATTTATCAACGTAAAAAGTAACTAAGCAAACAATATACTGAAAATTAAAGGCATTCAGAAAAGAAAACCCTTTCTTAAGCACAAACAGTTCAATGCCTGGGATCTCAAGGTTCAGAGATTTCTGCTGGAACAATCAAGAAACGGGTAAATTGGGAAAACAGCCGACTCACTTCTAAGAGCTTCAGTTCCTGCACGCAGTTGTGCAGCAGCTCTAGGGCGCGCTGGGCCACCTCCCACGGCCTCTGCAGGAAGAGCAGCAAGGTGCACTGGCGAGAGAACAGGTAACTGCGCAGATCTAACAGGGTGGCTTCTCGCCTCTGGATCGATTCCCGCTTCTCCATATCTATGGGTTTTCGGAGGATCAATCCGTTCCAGCTCTTCACTGGCTGGCAGAAAAAAGTCAGCCAGTTGGCACCATCTAAACAAACACACATCATGAAAGGTGCTGATTGCAGGTACTTCACCTTCCTGAGCTTCCTGCTCAGGCTGAGGATGGTGGGCAAACAGGCAGCTTCATAACCAGTTTTTCTATGAACACTGGCCCACCCCCTGTGGTCTAGTGATGCATTCGGCTCCCAGCACTGACAGCCGAGCTGAGGGTAACGTGACCCAGGCAACAAGGCACACCACCCTACCATGCCCAGAAAGTCATGGGCGGGAGCTGAACAGGTTGGGAAGTCACCCAGAGACAGACAGGCTACATGGTTAGGGGAGCTCAGGCTCTGTCTCAGGCCGAGGGAGGGCTCTAGTCTTAGGCTGCAGCGGGGCTGGGCTTCCTTATCTTTACCTGTGGGCTGGAGTGCAGCCTGCTCTGACCATCCTGGTGTTTTTTGGTCTTCCTTAGATTACATATTCCTTCCTTATTTCCCTAACTCAACCACGTCACGTCCCTGAGTCAAGCTCCTGGAGGAAGGGACAGGGAGGACTTGGTAGCAGCACATAGAAGGAAAAAGAATTACTGCTTGTCGAAAATTTCAGCAAGGCTCCCAGAGGTTTACTTACATCCCTAAGACTCAAATATGATCTTAAAATAAGCATAACAATGTATAATAACAAGTCCATCAATCATTATTGAAAAAAATCTTTGAATCTATTTTTCTCACTTCAACAGAGAGGTGTCATAACCAGTTCATTCCTACGTGGCATCCTGGCATGGTTAAACGCTCCCTTCACTGACGTGAGCTTCTCCTCAGACCCGGGGAGCGCATAGTGGTGTGGTGTGGACCTGCCAGCCCAGCCCCTGCACCAGCATCCTCAGGGCTATTGGAGCACCCAGCAGTGTGGAGTGGACCCGCTGGCCCAGCCCCTGCACCAGCATCCTCAGGGCTATTGGAGCACCCAGCAGTGTGGAGTGGACCCAGCCCTGTACCAGCCCAGCCCTGTACCAGCAGTTCCCTTGGCTAGGCTCCCCTCCCACAGGATTCTCACGGGGCACTCCCACATTTCAGTCAGGCCTCTGTGCCAGTGCCGCCCCCACAGGGAGGCCACTCCAGTGCCCTATCTAAGCTCCAATGGCACATACTGCCCCATCTCTCACCTGAGCCCCTTTCTACGGCCCAAACTTACTATTATGGACAGCAAGTGATAGATTTACTTTTCTGTGCCTGTTTCCCCTTCATGTAAGCATCATAAAAAAAGGGATTCTGCTTTATTCCTCCCTGTATTTAGAACAGTGCCTGGCACATGGTGGTCCCTCAGTAAGTATTTGTTGAATGAAAGAACAAAAACGAACCATCTTATTCAGTGGCAAAATTTGGTCCAGGCTTACTTTTGGATTTTAAATTGCCCCAAATTTTAAAACTGAGAGAAAAAACCAAATAAATTATGTCAAATATAAGAAATATGTAAGATATTTCAGCCTTGAAGGCTCCTTCTCACATGCACTGACATCCATTCAGGTGCCTGGTCCCTGACGCTGCCCAGCACCTATTCTGCTGCCAGGGACCATATGGTCTTTACCTTATAAATAACACTTATTTACTCAATGTTGTGTATATGGCATCACAAGCACATGGACCTGTGATTACCAGCCTGCCTGAGGCTAACAAATGCCCTCAGTTAGAATGTATAGGTTAAACGCAGCTTTTAAAGCTCCTATGATATGACCTCAAGGTTGTTAACCTGGTCATCTCATGGTAATTAGAAACTGTGATTGGCAGTTTTAGATTTCTCGATTAAAAACCTAAATAAACAGATTAAGTTCTAGGCATTCTTTCAAAGGAGTTCTCCATGAAAAGACTGAGAATTATTCTATTTGGTGCTCAGTGTAAATATTTTAATATTTTCAACTAATGTATGCACCAGTTATTGCCATTTCTTTATTAAATTCAAACGTTTTTTGCTAAATAAATCTATTTTTTAAAAAAATGTAAGATATTTAAAAAATACAGGCCAGGTGCGGTGGCTCACGCCTGTAATCCCAGCACTTTGGGAGGCTGAGGCGGGCGAATCACGAGGTTAAGAGATCGAGACCAGCCTGGCCAACAAGGTGAAACCCCAACTCTACTAAAAATAAAAAAATTGGCCAGGCGCAGTGGCTCACGCCTGTAATCCCAGCACTTTGGGAGGCTGAGGTGGGCAGATCACGAGGAGATCGAGACCATCCTGGCTAACACGGTGAAACCCCGTCTCTACTAAAAATACAAAAAAAAATTAGCCGGGCTTGGTGGCGGGCACCTGTAGTCGCAGCTACTCAGGAGGCTGAGGCAGGAGAATGGCGTGAACCCGGGAGGCGGAGGTTGCAGTGAGCCGAGATGGCGCCACTGCACTCCAGCCTGGGCTACAGAGCAAGACTCCGTCTCAAAAAATAAAATAAAATTAAATTAAATTAAAATTAAAATAAATAAATAAATTAGCTGGGCGTGGTGGTGCGCACCTGTAGTCCCAGCTATTTGGGAGGCTGAGGCAAGAGAATCGCTTGAAATCAGGAGGAGAAGGTTGCAGTGAGCCAAGATCACACCACTGCACTCCAGCCTGGCAACAAAGCAAGACTCCGTCTCAAAAAAAAAGTGTGTGTGTGTGTGTGTGTGTGTGTGTGTGTATGTATGTATGTATAGGCTGGGCATGGTGGCTCACAACTATAATCCCAGCACTTTGGGAAGCCGAGGCAAGAGGATCACTTGGGGCCAGGAGTTCGAGACCAGCCTGGCCAACATGGTGAAACCCCGTTTCTACTAAAAATATAGAAATTAGCCAGGTATGGTGGCATGCACCTGTAATCCCAGCTACTCAGGAGGCTTAGGCACGAAAATCGCTTGAACCCTGGAGGCAGAGGTTGCAGTGGGCCAAGATCACACCACTGCCCTCCAGCCTGGGGGACAGAGTGAGACACTGTCTCAAAAATAAATAAATAGATATGTTTGTATAATATGGACACATAAGGCCGGGCATGGTGGCTCACACCTGCAATCCCAGCACTTTGGGAGGCTGAGGCGGATCACGAGGTCAGGAGATCGAGACCATCCTGGCTAACATGGTGAAAACCCGTCTCTACTAAAAATACAAAACATTAGCCAGGCGTGGTGGCAGGCGCCTGTAGTCCCAGTCCCACTGCTGAGGCAGGAGAATGGCATGAATGGCATGAACCCGGGAGGCAAAGCTTGCAGTGAGCCGAGATTGTGCCACTGCACTCCAGCCTGGGCAACAGTGCAAGACTCCATTTCAAAAAAAAAAAAAAAAAAGACACATAAAATATAAGAAATAGAAGTGTTTTTTTATTTTATTTTTTTACTTAGTAAACACTTTGCTTTGGTTCTGTGTCTATACTGGCATCTCAGGAGAGTGAGATATCCAGACCTGATCTTCAGAAGCACTATGAGCCAGTATCCATCGGCGCCACTGATGAGTTCCAGAGTGAGGACAGTGCTCACAGCTAGAACTGACCGTCCCCACACTTCATCTCCCTCCAGGTTCTCCTGCTGACACCAGGGCTCCTCAAAATTACTCCTTCCTTCACACATGGTGACAAGGGTTCTCAAAAAGAACACCTGGCAGAGATGCCCACTACAGCACTGCTTGTGGTGGCAAGAAGCATAAAAGAACCCAATGTCCAACACCAGGTAATGGAATCAAGCCAGGAATACCAATTGTAACAAAAACAACTCCAAACCCCACCTGCTAACCTGGAGAGATGCCCAGGATGGGCTGTGAGTAACAAAAAGGAGCGACAGAGAAACAGCTATATAACGTGGTATCACTTTCATCAAAATAAGTATCAGCGAAAAACACTGAGGACAATAACCAATGTTTCTCTCTGTGTATGGTTTCACTGTGCTAATTCTTTAATTGTAAAGGAGCTTAAGATATTATTTAAAAGTGCAAAAGAAAGATGAACACCCAAGGGCATTTTATAAGTTCACAGCAATGAGCACTCGAGCATTCCAAAGATAACCCCTGGATGGAAGGCAAAGGGACGTCCACTCTGATTCTAACGAGGGACAGAATCGAAGCATCACCAGCAGGCCACTGAGTTGTGGAAAGGACATTTTATACCTGGAAAACAGTTTTTTTAAATTATTATTATTTTTGTTACTTAAGATTCTTCTAAAAGTGAAAATGACTAATTCTTAATTCTCATTTCATTTCCTCTAGGAATCACGAGAATATATCCGATATAATGTGTATAAAGACAACAACAAAACATGCGTACTCCTGAGGTAAATAAATGGCTGCTTCAAGCCTATCTGAAGTTGGAGAAAGCCACACTAAGAAAAGCATGCGTTACTGAAGTGCCACTACTCACCCCCGGCCCCGAAGTTGACCACATACTGAGAGAAGAGGGCGTCCAGTTCGTCGTACTGCACCAGGGCGTCCTCGAACTGCTGCAGCATCTCGAAAACAAAGGCAAGCTCCTCCTATTCGCCCAAGATACGTTTTTTAAAAAAACAAAAACATAAATCAATGTATAGAAGAAACAGTATGTAGCCATTAAACGACAGAGAAAGGCACGCAGCACTATGAATAATGTCTACGCTCCGCTAAGTAACAACCAATGTGACGACCGCATATGTCAACATTCACGCATGCACAAGAAGCTAGGAAAAGCTAAGGTAATTTCTGAACCCTCCCCGACCTATCGGCAGCACCAGATATAACTGGTCACCCCCCTGTCCTTGGGATGTTTCCTGCTGTCCAGGACCTGGCCACCTGCTCCCCTCGCCCCTCACTGTGGCTCCCTCTGGTCAGACGGCTGGTTCCTCTCGCTCCCCGAGGCTCTCTGCTGGAGGCCGCAGGGCTCCGCCCTTGGACTTCCCTGTCTACACTCACTATTCCCTCTCCATGACGGAGCCCATCTACACAGCATGACCACCACACATTCAGGACTCCAGCTCAGACCTGACTCTGGCTCCAATGGCAGGCACAGCACGCTTGTGTGGATGCCTAACAGACAGCTCAGGCTTACACATGGAAACCTGAACCCCAACCTTTCCCACAAAGTGCTCCACCCACGGTCTTCCCCATTTCAGTCAGCGACTGCTCATCACATTCAAGAGACTCCTAAATCCTTTCGAGACATCCCCAGGCCCTGCAAAATCTATGTCCCCCACCCCCACCCCTTCCCAGCACCAGCCCTCTGGCCTCACTCAGCTCCACCACCAAGGCCTCCTCACCGCTGCTCACGTGTGCGTGGCAGGGAGCTGCCTCGGGACCTGTGCGCTGCCCCACTCCATGGCCTGGAACACCTCCTCTTCCTCTATACACCCACATGGCTTGCTCTCCAAACTCCTTCAGCTCTGGCTAAGTCCCCAGCCCAGTCAGGCCTTTCCTCCTCCTGACCCGCACAGCACCCCACACCATCTCTGCCTTGTGCCTCTCTCTCGCCCTAGCATATGCGTCACTTCCTTTCCTGTATCTCCTCCACTGTCACACAAGCTCACAAAAAACTGTACACTGACGGCGTCCCAGCATCAAGGAGGGCCTGGCACCTGTCCGTGCTCAGTAACCTTTGTTGAATGAGAAAATGAAAAGAGAGGGCAACAGGTGATTGCCTTCTGATCTCCATTACTGCACATTAAAAAGTAAAGACCAGGAGGATGTGCACGCACATAAACCTCCCCTGACATGGTCAGGTCTTTGGAATCCAGTTCCACCCCATGTATTTGTGGACATTATTCCCAGACCCCTAAGGGCCCACCCAGGTCCCACTCACTAGGTGAGAACTGAGAGCTCTCCTTTGTATCCTGTTTCCCGTGAAAACAGTGGTGGGCTGTGTTTTGCAAGAGAAACTGCTAAGTTATGTTGAACTTCATTTTATTTGTGAAGTATTTACAAGACTCAGCACTCTAATAAACTCATCTTTTTCTTTTAAATTTTGATTGAAATGTATGTAATATAAAACTGACCATCTTAACCATTTTTAAAAGTACAGCTCAGGCCGGGTGCAGTGGCTCAGGCTTGTAATTCCAGCACTTTGCGAGGATCACTTGAGGCCAGGAGTTTGAGACCAGCCTGGGCAATATGGCAAAACCCCATCTCTACTAAAAATACAAAAATTAGCTGGGCGTGGTGGCGCAGACCTGTAATCCCAGCTACTCGGGACTGAGGCAGGAGAATCGCTTAAACCTGGGAGATGGAGGTTGCAGTGAGCCGAGATCGCACCACTGCACGCCAGCCCTTGGTGACAGAGCAAGACTCCATCATAAAAAAAAAAAGAGAGAGAGAGAGAGAAGACTACAGCTCAGTAGTGTTAAATGCACTCACACTATTGTGCAACCAATATCCCAAACTTTCTCATCTTCCCAAACGGAACCTCTGTCCTTTATTAAACACTCATTCCCATTCTCCCTCTGCCAGCCCCTGGCAGCCCCCATTCCACCTTCTGTCTCTGAACCTGAGCACTCGAGGGACCTCACATAAGCAGACACAGCATCTGTCCCTATGTGCCTTATTTCACTCGGCATCATGTCCTCTAGGCCCATCCATGCTGTAGTGTGTGTCAGAATTTCCTTCCTTACTCATTTTAAATTCTGAACTAATCTTAGACTTACAGAAATATTGCAAAAAAAAAAATTATCTAGTTTCCATATAGCCCTTACTCAGCTTCCTAAACATTGCCATCTTATATGACCGTGGTACAATTGTCACAACCAGAAAATTAACCTAAGTATAATACTATTAACTAAATAGCCCTCATTGGAATTTCAGTGGTTTTTCCACTGATGTAGTTGTTTCTGCTCTAAGACCCCACCCTCGACCCCCAAACCAGGCCGGAGCTGTTGCTTCCTTCAGCCCCTGCAGTCTGTCAGCTTCACAGTCTGTCTTTCACTGCCGTGGCACCCTTGAAGAGAGCTATGTTGTCTAATGTCCCTTTACGTGGGTTCATTTGATATGTTCCGTGACTGCCGTGAGATGATCATTTTTTACAGAGAAAAGACGCTAAGTATTTCTCAGAACATCTTACCAAGGATTTCATGAGGTGGACACAGCTTCTCATGGGCAGAAGCGGCCTTATCATTTCATTCAGGTGGTATGTACCTGGTTTCCCCACTGTGGAGTGGCTACTGCTCCCTCAGTAGCTGACAGACATCTTGGGGGGCCACCGTGAGACTGTGCAAGCCCACCTCTTCTCAGGCCTTTGCCCACCACCCCGGACACCCATCAGTAATCCTGCCTCCAACAGTTCTTGCTGGAGCACTGGCTTAAAAGTGATTTTCTGTTTTTCTTTCCTTCTGCGTTTAAGTGGAATTCTTCTGTATGGAAGAGTTGACCCTTCTCCTCCATTTATTTATTTAACTGATGATTTCTATCGATACAGACTCATGGATATTAATTTTATTCCATGGGTTAAACCTCGACTCTATCCTTATTTATTCTGTCACTGAAACTGCTCCAGCTTTTGCCCCCAGAGGCTCCCCGGGGCAGTGTGTGTGTCCTTTTCATGCCCCATCTGCTTCCATACACTTCCTTTCTAGTCCTAAAGATATTCCAGGTTTTTTGTTTTTAAAAACTCTGCCAATGAGATTACCACGAGAGGTGCCTTACTTAGAAAGAAAGGAGGAGAGAGGGAGGGAACAAAGGAGGGAAGGAGAGAAGGAACTGTCTAGTTCTGTAATGAGTCAAGTACCTGAACCATGAAATATTCACAAAAGCTCCAGCCTGGCTCAGTCCTCTTCTCCCTCAAGGTTCTCATGTCATCCTCAAACTTGCCTAGGTTTTTGGTAAAAGACATAAGAAGCAATGTCCTGAGTTTGGTCAGGAAGGCATTCCAGGATTCCTGAGTTCGAGAAGAGTCCTTCAAGGGGTCGGAGAGCACAACACACCTGCAAAGACATGAACAGACTATCTGGGAAAGACCCTCCATGCACAGCACCACGACTCAGCAGCTGCCATTGTCCTGAGCGGCAATTTTCTTCCTTCCTCCTCCTTTTTTTTTTTTTTTTGAGACAGAGTTTTGCTCTGTGGCCCAGGCTGGAGTGCAGTGGCACAATCTTGGCTCACTGCAACCTCCACCTCCCAGGCTCCAGTGATCCTCCCCAGTAGCTGGGATCACAGGCACGCACCACCATGCCTGGTTAATTTTTGTATTTTTTTGTAAAGGTGAGGTCTTGCTATGTTGCCCAGGCTGGTCTCGAACTCCTGGGCTCAAACAATCCTCCTGCCTCGGCCTCTCAAAGTGCTGGGATTATAGGCATAAGCCACCGCATCTAGCTTCTTCCGTCTATAAACAGTCAAAAACATGAGGCAGGCGGTAAGAAACCAGGTTAGGAAAAGGCTTCATCATGAACTGGTCATGAACACGAGCAGTAAGTTCTACAGAAATTCAAAGGAGAGTTTGCTATAGAATCAACTGGAAAGGGGGAAAGGGATTTACATGAGCCCTGAGCCAAAGACGCAGCTCTGAGTCCTCTGTAAAATAATGTGATCACGCCTCACTCAGTTCCCTGCCTCCTTCAAAATCCATTTTGGTTCCTTGGGATCGACAGGATAAATTTAGATTTCTCAGCACAGCACAAAAGGACCACGATGTCTCACTTTACTTCCTCTGCTTCCCAGCTCAAGCCTGCTGACCTTCTCCCGCTCTCCTCTCTTCATGAGAACATTCCTTCCACCCAGGCGTGGCATCTTCACAAACCTCCCCCAATCACCATCCCAACTGCTCTGCCCACACTGCTGCTAGGCTGTGGGCCTCACAGGAAAACACTCCCCTTCTCTGGACCTCTATCCCTCCCACTAGCCTGTGAGCTCTTGAAGGGGAAGGTTAATAAACAATTAACAAATAAAGGCTTAGAACATGGCTTAACATATAGAGCAAACAGTTTAATTACAAAGAGGCTGAACCCATGATGTAAAAAGGTCAAACACACGAAATTACACAAAGTTCCCAACAGATTTGGACAAGGCAACGTATTTATCTGATAGGCTGGAAATGGTAAATTTCTTTAGCCTTGGTAATAGTAATCTAGAAAGATGATTAATAAATCTGAACTCAGAAATAATTTTAAAACATTGATTCTATGAGCTTCACCAGTTCTCCTTAGTAAATATTTTACTTGAATTACCAAAAAGTAGCAAAATGAACTGACTCTAAGTTCCTTTTTTCCGTGCCCCAGCATATCCTTTGGAGGCATGGCTAAATTCATGGAATTATAAATCAGTGGACAAAACAGTGAAGCAGCATACACTCTACATGTTCCACCATGTGAACAACCAGAACCAAGAAGAAAACTTATAACTTGGTGGCTGGCTTTAATTCCATTCAATCCACCCCACTGCACACTTTCTTCCCTCAAAGACAAAGGGACCAGAGCCGCTCACTCCAAAGGTCCCCCAGAGGACTAACTTGTATTTATCCACAGTAGGAGCTTGCTAGAACCTATGAGTTAGGTAGTTTATCCTTAAGGCATTCTCAAGGATTATAATTACCAACATTTATTCCCGACCAGACGCGAATTCTCCTGTGCGCCTACAGGGGTGAATGGAAATGGAAACTTAACAAGTGCCAACCACCAAAACAGTAACTGTTTTCAGAGGTCAATCAGATACACAGTCATGAAATGTCCTATCTCTATTAGATCCTGTTTCTATATCATCATCAATTTTTTTTAAGTAAAAAAGAACTACACTTCAGAAGTTCACATCAAGCCTAAATCATTAACTCAGAAAAGGAGAGCCCAAAACAACGAATGAAGTCAGGGATGGTGGGCCAATCTGGAGAGCGGCGTGATCCCCCCAGGCGCGCAGACTGCAGGGGCTGGAGGCACATGTGGAACAAGGGGCTCCCGGCTGCAGCCTCAGCGAGACACCACAACGGCTACTGCTGTCACAAGTCACACTGCTGATCACAAGTCAACCCTTGCCTCTACCAGCCTCGTAACTAGCAAAAGCCCAAAAAATGCACAAAATCTGTTACCAAGCAATTTTCCTTTAGGGAAGGTATCCTGAAATAATTAAGGATGCTCACAACATTTGAGCTAGAAAAGTATTCTAATATTGTTGTTTATAACGATAAGTAAGCAATAACCTAAGCCCAGCAGCAGAATGTATAAATAACTTACGGCACATTAATACTATGGAATATTATCCACTCACTAACACTGAGAGTCTGGAAATGCATTTATTGTTTGTGGAAAATCTTTACAATATATTGAGTGAAAAAAACAAGTATAAACAACACATAACGTTATATTAACTTAAAATACACACACGTATTATGTATGCATAAAGAAAAAAAGTCTCAGAACATACATACCAAAATACTAAGAGTTAATATCCATTTTCTTTTTGCTCATTACCTTTTTCTAATAATTCTACAATGAGCATGTACCTCCATCTGAACCCTCGCCACCATAAGCATGGTGACCATGGCTATAATGACCTGCTGGACCAGGGCAGGGTCCATGTTCGCCCCTGAATCCCCAGGCCTTGGGTGAGTTCCAGTGCTAAGCTACGAGATACAGACCATCGGTTATAGAGGAGTTAACGTGCTGGCTGGCTCAGCTGGCAATGGCATCACTGAAGAGAAAGGGAGTGAGCTACCCCAGGAGAGAGAGCAGGGCAAGGCGGAGAAAGCCCATACAATCTATTAACTGCCAAAGTTTCAGGATTCCCTTTCACAGTTTCTGAAGGGGTTAGGTCAGCATTTTATAACTTGTGTTCTTAGGAACTCTCAGGTGTTAAGGTAAAGAAAAAAACACAGGTGCCGTCATTTCAAAAAAAAAACAAAAACCTTTAAGGACCCGTTCTACAGAAGAACTGCAGGAGCTGCTGCTGTCAGTCTTCAGAAAGGACCCACCAAGAGGCCTCCCAGGACTATGGGCCCAAGACCCGCTCCTCCCAGGCAGCACACTCGGGGGATGACTGCTTCGAGTTCTTTGCCTGCCTAAACAGGAACTCCACAAGGACAGGCACCAGGTCTCCTTGACAGCACCCCATGGACACTCACTCGAGATTGCTGAGTAAATATTTATTACTACCCAGGAAGCCAGCAATCTGTATCATGTCAAGTATTAACCAAATGAGGTAAAATTAAAGATACACTTACCTGTCACTCTGTTTATTACAAAAATCATTTCTTATTTTGTCCACAATAGAGGTTCGGGGAAGGATGTTGGTTTTGTTTTTTTTCTTGGCATCATTTTCAACTATCACTATTAACCAGTCCACAGAGCTATGAGCCTTCAGAACATTCTGCCACTTGGTGAGGTCATCTTTTACTGTAGCTTTATACACTTCGGTATCCTAAAAACAAACAAGTCACTGTGAAAGCAGGTTAACTAATGCCCTTTAGTTTATACAGCAAAATGTGCCTAATAACAGCCTGCAAAGGCCGCAATGTTTTAAAGCATCAGGACAGGCTCGGGACTTAAATTGAATAAAAAGCCCAGCGGCCTAGCAAGCCTGCGGGCGTGCTCTGTGGGTCTCAGTGCCGCACACAGGCATGCATGATCCCCAGTTCTCACAACCCCAAGGGATGTGAGCGTCCCAGTGATCCAGATAAAGAGACTGAGAGTCAGAGGGTTGAGTGAGCTGCCCACAGCAATACTGTCTGTTAGGCAAGTCAGGGCTTTAAAACCCAGGCCCACTATGGCCAACAGCTCTGGGCCCAAGCACTACATGACTGCCATCCTGCTGTGTGCCGTGCCTTCATCTCAGGAGGCAAGCTGGCTGTCATGGCACAGCCCAGACTGCCCACAGGAACCCCAGGCAAGCTTCCCGGCAGCTTCTACCACAGCCTCTGAGCTCTGTACCCCTGGGAACCACCCCAACCGCAAGTCTGCGAAGGCCGTGTCAGAGGCAAGCAGCTACAGCTGTGAGACCTCAGAAAGAAGGCGACCTGCAGCTTCCGCAAGGCTGCTCTACTTCCCGACAGGCAGCAGGGAGCCGTGCCATCCCAGAAATCAATCCTGCTTCTCACGCAGAGGCCCAAGCATGAGCCTGCCAGAGAAAGGGCCCTTTCTACATACATGCCAAGGCCTTCAGCTTGGTTCTCTTCCATAAAGAACCAGGAAAACAGACACTTTGCCTGTTATCACTTATAACTGCGCTTCTATTCCATAAATCCACTCAGAAGAGTCCAACTCCCTTTAGATTTAGAAAATCTAAAACCAAGATACTTAATTCATTTCCAAGTTAGGCACTGACAATATCTGGACACAGTAACTCACAGCTACCATCTAAATCAGTGCTTTCTCCTCTTTTGCTAGTTCCTCACTGTCCTGCCCTAATTCCTCCGGACTTTCAAGTCACTCTTGAGTAACACTCAGGCAGAGAGAAGCCAATCAGAGTATCCACGAGTGAGTTAAATCTTAAATCCTGGCCAGGCACAGTGGCTCACACCTGTAATCCTAGCACTTTGGGAGGCTAAGGTGGGTGGATTGCCTGAGCTCAGGAGTTCAAGACCAGCTTGGGCAACATGGTGAAACCCCATCTCTACTAAAAATGGAAAGATTAGCCGGGCATGGCGGTGTGCACCTGTAGTCCCAGCTACTCAGGAGGCTGAGGCAGGGGAATTGCTTGAACTGGGAGGCGGAGGTTGTAGTGAGTCAAGATCGCACCACTGCACTCCAGCCTGGGCGACAGAGCGAGACTGCGTCTCCAAAAAAAAAATATTAAATCCTAAATTCTGTACCCAGCCTCTCTTTTGGTTTAACTAACTAAATAGAAAGTTCCAAAAGGCAGTACTTCTCATTTGTATCCTGATTTTAAAAACTGCTATGTCCTGATTTAAATTACAAATATCATACAATCTGAAAAGATCTTTTACTTTGAAAACTGAGATTAAAACCAACTGGTAAACTCAATTTCCTGCAAATAAATACCCAACAGTAACTTAATTATCTAGTGCACATTTTCCACAGCACGGCAGTTCTTGGGACTTGAAGCATAGATTTTACAGCACTGGTGAACCATTCTGTGCTGGAAGCCCCAACACGCCATGCCTGGAAGCAAAACCAAAAGGCCAACAGGGCCCAGAGCCTGTGACTGCCAAGAAAATACACATAGCACCCGGCTGACCCCATCCACACGTCACAGGTGAGCCATCCAAGGAGCTGCTGGAAGCCTCTCCACCTCTTACAAGGCCACCAAGAGCCCTTTAGCTGGACTCCTCCCCACCCCCACCCCAGAAGGAGTCCTGGCTCCAAGTTGTCCACACCGGGCAGGGGCTGCCACATCCCAAGGGGACATTAGAGCAGCTCTGCTCAGTCAATTTGCAGGAACTCTCCAGAAGAAACCTCACAGAGCATGAGGCAGGACAGAGGGAGTACAGAGAAGTTCCACATAATCCTGGGGCAAACCGGTTGGCAAGATCCAGCCTATCACTCATCCCAGCTAGCAAACAAAACGACATGTTAAAAACGACTCTGTGACTCTTAAGAGGACCAGCAGAGCCAGTGAAGCTAAGGGTCTCTAAAGAAAACAAAGTCCCAGCATGGCCAAATAGTGAAATCCCATCTCTACTAAAAATAGAAAAATAGCCATGCGTGGTGGTGGGCGCCTGTAGTCCCAGCTACCCAGGAGGCTGAGGCAGGAGAATTGTATGAACCTGGGAGGCGGAGGTTGCAGTGAGCCGAGATCATGCCACTGCATTCCATCCTGGGCAACAGAGTGAGACTCCATCTCAAAAAAAACAAAAAAAAAAGAAAGAAAGAAAACAAAGTCACTACAGGAAAACCCATGAGCAGTGGGCAGGAATACATGCAGGACCCAAGAGCTGAGTCAGAGGGGAAGGCTCCAGCTCCAAGACAGAGGCAGCAGCAGCCAGGGGCAGGGCATCAGGGCCCAAGGTGGGCAAGCACAGCAGGCCGCCCCAGGTACCAGAGCTCAGCAGTGAGGAGGGTGTCCAGGTGGCAGTAGAGGGAAGTACAGAACAAGATGTGAGGCCCCAAGTGAGATGATGAAGGATTTTGGGGCTGGCACAGAGGTATAAGGGTGTAAGTGGTATAAGGGGCCAAGCAGGGCACAAAGGGCATCCCCCAGACAGGGATGCCTTTTTATTCAATTTAAGTCCCGAGCCTGTCCTAATTGCAGATCAAGTGAGGTGAGGAGGAAGTCTGTGCCAGGCACACTGCCAGGCAAGTGTGGGAATGGGCATCCACCTGCTGGGAGCAGAGCAGCAGTGACAGGAGGATGGTCATTCACAGAGGGATTACTCCCATCAGAAACACAGAGGAGAACCAGTGCCTGGCTCCTCCATGTGGAGAAGGGAGTTACAAACATAGAAGGGAGGAAACCAGGATCACCCTTGCAGTGCTGGACTGAAATGGGCTCGTGTGTACATGTATGTATGTACGTACACAAGCAGCTACACACGAAATACAGATGTAAATGTGTGCACGTACACGTGTGGGTGTACACACGTGTTCTCTAGCCATGCCCACTGAGAGCTCACCAGCAAAGCTCTCCCCTAGCTCCAGGTCCTGACTTCTAAATACAGTTTCCCACTGGAAGGAGCCAGGGCTGAGCCCTGAGATGAAGCAAGAGGAGGGGATGAGCCCAGAGAGTACTCAAAGAATCAGTACATTCTCAGTACATCAGTACAGAAGCCAAATTCAGAACAATCTGCACATCAATGATATTAATTATTAATACTATGATAGTAATAGATTACACTCCATCAAAAGCTAGAAATCAATGAGTGAACTGCTTCTAGCCAAGATGAAGTGACAGGGACTAGATTTACACCACTGCCTGAACCAACCAAAAAAAAAAAAAAAAAAAAACACAGGGTGGGCATGGTGGCTCACACCTGTAATCTCAGCACTTTGGGAGGCTGAGGTGGGCAGATCACTTGAGGTCAGGAGTTCGAGACCAGCTTGGCCAACATGGTGAAACCCCGTCTCTATGAAAAATGCAAAAATTAGCTGGGCATGGTAGCGTGCACCTGTAATCCCAGCTATTTAGCAGGCTGAGGCAGGAGAATTGCTTGACCCCAGGAGGTGGAGGTTGTAGTGAGCTGAGATCTCACTACTACACTCCAGCCTGGGTGATAGAGCAAGACTCTGTCTCAAAAACAACAACAAACAAACAAACAAAAACCAAAACAAAACACCAAAAACCAAGAAACATGAATCAGTGGTTTTCAAGACCAGGACACCAAGGAACAAAGGACAATGATTCCTCCCCTCAACACTCAGAGATGGGAAACAAGCCCAGCAAGCCCTCTGGGTGCCCACCAGAGGGTGGGGAGGGCAGGGGGTGACAGAGGGGAAGCTGGCAGACTCCCTGAGTTGAGGACACAGAGCCCAGGCCAGGGAGATCAAGACAGCTAGACTTCCTAGGACTGTGTTAGGAGAGGAGAGGGACATGGTGAGTAAAGTAGACCGGCACAGGGCCCTCGAGTATTCCACAGGGAACTGACGAGTAAGTACATGCGGGAACCACCCATTGCTGGAACAGAACCCGCAGACACGATCAGAGGCACCCATGCTTGGCAGTCACACAGGGCAGGGAACAGGGCTGTCCCCATAGGCCAGTCTGGAAAACCAGAGGAACTCAAGACTGTGTTGCCTCGGCTGTAAGGAATAATTTGTCCTGGACTGATCACTGCTCCAGACCTATCAAATCATAAAGCTATACTCAAAAGGAAAAATCAATCAATAGAAATAGCCCCAGTAATGACACAGAAAGCAATTAAAAGAGTTACAGTAACTACTGTCACTTAGTTATTTCATATGTTGAAGAAGGTAGTGGACTGAAGTGAAGAAGACACATGGAAGATACTTAATTAAGAAAAAGACCCATATGGAACTTTTAGAGATGAAAACCTCAAATCTAAAATGAAAATATGCTAAGTGGAATGAGAGCCGATTAGACACTGCAGAAGAAAAGGTTAACACGAAGACAGAGCAGCAGCAATTACACAAATGAAACACCAAGAAAAAGGGAAAAAGGACTACAAAAAATATCAACAGATTATCAGTGAGTTATGGAACTTCATGTAGCGTGTGCGCGCACACACACACACACACACACACACACACACACATACTCCCCCAGAGAGGGTGCAACAGAAAAACAATCTGAGGAAACAATGACCAAAAATGTTCTACATCAGGCCATGTGCAGTGGCTCATGCCTGTAATCCCAGCACTTTGGGATCACTTGAGGCCAGGAGTTTGAGACCAGCCTGGCCAACATGGCGAAACCCCATTTTTACTAAAAATACAAAAATTAGCCGGGTACGGTGGCACACGCCTATACTTCAAGCTACATGAAGATGAGGCACAAGAATCGCTTGAACCCAGGAGGCAGAGGTTGTGGTGAGACAAGATGGTGCCACTGCACTCCAGCCTGGGTGACAGAGTAACACCCTGCCTCAAAAATAAAATAAAATAAAAATGTTCCAAATTAAATCAAAACTATAAACCCCAAGCAGTTTGAATCACAGTGCGCCGAAGGAGTAGGTGGTGGGATCTCGCCATGGGTCTGATTAGCCCTTTCTCTGCCTTGCTTGCTTGAGCTTCAGCAGAATTCGAAATGGCTGGCAGTAAGGTGGGAAAGGACTCCAGAAAGGCCAAGACAAAGGCGGTTTCCCGCTCGCAGAGCCGGCTTGCAGTTCCCAGTGGGCCATATTCATCGACACCTGAAATGTAGGACGGCCAGTCATGGACGTGTGGGCGCGACTGCCGCTGTGTACAACACAGCCATCCTGGAGTACCTCGCTGCAGAGGGACTTGAACTGGCAGGAAATGCATCAAAAGACTTAAAGGTGGCCGGGTGCGGTGGCTTATGCCTGTAATCCCAGCACTTTGGGAGGCTAAGGCAGGAGGATCGCCTGAGGTTGGAAGTTCAAGACCAGCCTGACCAACATGGAGAAACCCCGTCTCTACTAAAAATACAAAATTAACCGGGCGTGGTGGCTGCCTATAATCCCAGCTACTCGGGAGGATGAAGCAGGAAAATCGCTTGAACCCGGGAGGCAGAGGTTGCAGTGAGCCGAGATCGTGCCATTGCACTCCAGCCTGGGCAACAAGAGCGAAATTCAATCCTCCCCCCAAAAAAAAAAAAAAAACTTAAAGGTAAAGCGTGTCACCCCTTGTCACTTGCAACTTGCTATTCCTGGAGATGAAGAACTGGAGTCTCTTGTCAAGGCTACAATTGCTGGTGGTGGTGTCACTGCACACACCCACAAATCTCTGACTGGGAAGAAGGGACAACAGCGGACTGTCTAAAGGATGCCTGGATTCCTTGTTTCTCAGGACTCTAAATACTCTACCAGCTGTCCAGTGTTGGTGATTCCAGTGGACTGCATCTCTGTGAAAAACACAATTTACCTTTCTGTAATTCTATTTAAGCAAGTTAGAAGTTTAATTAGCTTTCCAACCAACCAAATTTCTACATTCGAGTCTTAACCATATTTAAGGGTCACTGTGGCTTCAAAGAAGCTATTGATTCTGAAGCAGTGGGTTTTGACTGAGTTGACTGTTTTTTAAATACTGCTCGGATTTTAATTGTGATGCAGAAGGTATAGTAACAAACATCTGGTTTTGTACAAACATGATTTCCTCTCCGGTGGATATGCTCAATAAAGGTCATATCCACCCCCACAAAAAAGAAAAAAAAAATAAACCCCCAAACCCCAAGTACAAGAAATATTAAGAAATCTACACCAAAGCATACCATAATCAAACTGTTAAAAACCAATATAAAGAAAAAAAATCTTGGCCCGGTGCGGTGGCTCACGCCTGTAATCCCAGCACTTTGGGAGGCCGAGGTGGGCGAATCAGAAGGTCGGGAGCTCGAGACTAGCCTGGCCAACACGGTTAAACCCCGTCTCTACTACTAAAAATACAAAAAAAATTAGCTGGGCATGGTGGCGGGCACCTATAATCCCAGCTACTCAGGAGGCTGAGGCAGGAGAATCGCTTGAACCCGGGAGGCGGAGGTTGCAGTGAGCCGAGATTGCTCCACTGCACTCCAGCCTGGGCAACAGTGCGAGACTCTCTCAAAAAAAGAAAAAAGAAAGAAAAAATCTTAAAATGCAAAGAAAAAAAGCCACTTTTGTACAAAATAACAAAAATAATAATGAAAGATTTCTCATGGGAAACAATGGAACCCAAAAGAGGTGAAACATCTTTAAAAAAAAATTGTCAACCTAGAATTCCCTAACGAGTGAAAATATTTTTCAAAAATTAAGGCAAAATAGACTTTCCCAATGTACAAAAGCTGAAAGAGCTTACCGTAACAGACCTACACTACAAGCAAGGTTACAGAAATCCTTCGGTCAGCAGGAAATCCAGACCAGATGAAAACCTGGATCTGCACAAAGGAAGAGACAGCAACAAAGGCTGGGCACGGTGGCTCACGCCTGTAATCCAAGCACTTTGGGAGGCAGAGGCGGGCGGATCACAAGGTCAGGAGTTCGAGACCAGCCTGACCAACATGGTGAAACCCCGTTTCTACTAAAAATACAAAAATGAGCTGGGTGTGGTGGTGTGCACCTGTAATCCCAGCTACTCAGGAGGCTGAGGCAGGAGAATCGCTTGAACCCGGGAGGCGGAGGGATTTTAAAGAAAAGGAACAGGCAGCAATGGAAATGGAAACTGGGTGGGTAAATATGTGCAGTGGCTCACACCTGTAATCCCAGCACTTTAGGAGGCCCAGGTGGGCAGATCACCTGCGGTCAGGAGTTCAAGAATGGCCTGGCCAACATGGCAGAAACCCCATCTCTACTAAAAATATAAAAAATTAGCCAGGCGTGGTGGCAGACGCCTGTAATCTCAGCTACTTCAGAGGCTGAGGCAGGAGTATCGATTGAACCTGGGAGGCGGAGGTTGCAGTGAGCTGAGATCACCCCACTGCACTCCAGCCTGGACAAGAGCGAAACTCTGTCTCAAAAAAAAAAAAAAAAAAAAAAAGACATGATTTTCTATTTTAATCTCTCCAAGGCATAACAGACTGTTTAAGGCAAAAAATAGTAACAATGTACTATGGGGTTTTAACAAGTATAGAAAATGTATGACAACAATAACAAAGGCTGGGAGGGAGAAAACAGAAGTCAATGATCCAAAGTTCTTATATCACGCATCAAGTAATATAATTCATATTACTTGAAGGAAGAATTATGCTGTTACAGATGTACTCTATAAGTCCTAAAGCAACTATTCAACATAACAGAGTTTTACTTTAAATCTAAAATCCTCAATATTATCAACTTACTCCTTTTTTTAAATAGACGATAATCAAGATTTGAAAAAAAAAAGGCTATTAGAATGTAATTTTAAGGAAAAAAGTCTCATTCAAAATGGCCACAAAAGCTAAAGCTAACAATAAAAATGTAAAACTTTTACGAAAAATAAGGGCAGAAAAAAGTCATAAAGAATGGAAAAACATACATACCACATTCCCTGATTCAAGAAGACTCATGATTAAAATTCTTCTCAAATGAATTAACAACTTATTCAAGGCAATCCCAATCAAAATGCCTCCAGCCTTCTCTTTTTCAACTGATATTCCAGTTATCTACTGCTGTGTAACAGGCCACTCCAAGCTATAGTGGTGTAAAACTTTCTTTTGCTCACGGATCTACAACTGAGAGAGGATTTGGTGGGAACCAAGGTCTCTGCTCCACCTGGTGTCAGTGGCGTGTTGAGGCTGGGAGCTAAAACACACAGTGGGACTCAGCTGGGGCAGGCTGAACACCTGCGAGTGGCCTTCCCACGGGGCTGCTTGGCTTCCCCACAGCATGGTGGCTGGAATCTAAGAACAAGCACCCCGAGAGAATCCAGCAGAAGGCACGTTATCTTTTAGGACTTCCTCTCAAGTATCACAGTGTTGCTTCTGCCACAGTCAGAGGCCCACCCAGATTCAACTGGAGGAAACACAGGCCCAGCCTTTCAACAAGGGAAAGTCACTGTCACATAGAGAGGAGCATGTGGGATGGGTATGCTGCTACAGCCATCTTCAGAAAATAAATTTGGACACTCGACATGTGGAAGGGAAAATGTAGATGGCCACAAGGTTTATTTTAAAAGAAAGATATTGATACATATTATAAAAGTGTAATAGGCCAGGCACGGTGGCTCACGCTTGCAATCCCAGCACTTTGGGATGCCGAGGCGGGTGGATCACGAGGTCAGGAGTTTGAGACCAGCCTGGCCAATATGGTGAAACCCCGTCTCCACTAATAATACAAAAATTAGCCAGGGGTGGTGGTGGGCGCCTGTAGTCCCAGCTACTCAGGAGACTGGGACAGAAGAATCGCTTGAACCCGGGAGGTAAAGGTTGCAGTGAGCCAAGATCAAGCCACTGCACTCCAGCCTGGGCAACAGGGTAAGACTCCATCCCAAAAAAAAAAAAAAAAAAAAAAGCGTAATAATTAAAAGTCTGATTCTGGCACAGGATAGACAATGATCAATAGAACCAAAGTGTCTAGAATATTGTGCATACAGGATGTTGGTTTAAAATACAGGTGACATTCCCAGTAAGTGGAGAAAAGACACACTATTATGAAATGGTGTTAGGCCAATTTGCTATGCATTCAGACAGTAAAATTAGACCCTCAACTCCCAGAGCTCCTAATATATATAAATAATTTGAAGCTATACGGGTCCCAATATAAGACATAAATTACAAAATTATTAAAATAAAATACAGAAAATCAGTTCTCTTCAGACAGACAAGGCCTCCCTAAGCAAGATACACTGCCCAGAAGCCATTCTGTAAATGACATATTTCACTCCATAAAAACTGTAAGTTGTAAACACCTAAGCACCAAATAATACATCAACCACCTATACAAAACAGAAACTACAGGAGATGCAAGAGAAACAGAAACACACCACTAACAGAAGACTTTACCATACCACTGTCAGTTAAAGATAGGTCAAATGGACAAAATTCAAAATATAAATGACCTAAACAACACAAGCAGTAAGATAGGTCTTGTGGATATTTAACATTACAATCTGGAAACAGAAAATACATTCTCAAACACACATGAAATGTCCAAAAAAACTGATCATTTATTAGGTCACACAACAGTCAAATTCATAAAATTTTAAAAATAAGTTTCATAAAGCAAAAATATAAACACTTTCTGAACACAATGCAATAAAGCTAGAAATTTCTAAACAAAATTTTTTTAATCTTTTTTTTTCTGTAAGCTAAAAAGCTTTCTGTTAAACAACTATTTAATGAAAGGGTGAAATACAAATCAAAAATAGAGAATTTCTGAAAAATAATGATAAAACAATGGGATATATTTAAAGTAGTAACCAGAGAAAAATTCCTAACTTTAAAGACCTATATCAATAAAAATTTAAGAATGAAAATAAATGCATTTCAAACGCCCGAAAACTAAAAAATGAACAAAGTAAACCATGAGAAAACAAAAAGAAGAAAATAATACAAATGAAAGTAGAAACTTGAGTAGAAAACAGACTAACGATAAATCAGATGAATACATTAAAATCCTGGTTCTCTGGAGGGAAAAAATCGAACTAGCTAATTTAATCAAGGAAGAAAGAGAGAAAGCACAAATATACAAAATAAGAAATAATGATGGGGGCTGGGCGCCGTGGTTCATGCCTGTAATCCCAGCACTTTGGGAGATCGCCTGATGTCAGGAGTTTGAGACCAGCCTGGCCAACATGGTGAAACCCCATCCCTACTAAAAATACAAAAATTAGCCGGGCATGGTGGCAGGCGCCTGTAACCCCAGCTACTGGGAGTCTGAGGCAGAAGAATCACTTGGACCTGGGAGGCAGAGGTTGCAGTGAGTCGAGAATGCGCCACTACACTACAGCCTGAGTGACAGAGTGAGAGTCCGTCTCAAAAAATAATAATAATAATAAATAAATAATGATGGGAAAATAATTACTGACAAAACATTTTAAAAGTCAAAAAAGCTGGGCGTGGTGGCTCACGCCTGTAATCCCAAAACTTTGAGAGGCTGAGGCAGGCAGATCACCTGAGGTCGGGAGTTTGAGACCAGCCTGACCAACATGGAGAAACCCCGTCTCCAAACTACAAAATTAGCAGGGCGTGGTGGCGCATGCCTGTAATCCCAGCTACTCGGGAGGCTGAGGCAGGAGAACCACTTGAACCCAAGAGGCAGAGGTTGCAGTGAGCCAAGATCGCACCACTGCACTCCAGCCTGGGCAAGAAGAGCGAAACTCCATCGCAAAAAAAAAAAGTAAAGAAAGACCACTTAATATACCTCAATGAAAGTAAGTTTTACAACTTAACCGAAATACGTAATTTCCAAGAAAATGTACTTTATCAAAATTAGCAAATGGCTGAAAACAGACCAATTTTCATCAAAGAGTTACAAAAAAGTACCTGGCCCAGCTAGTTTCCCAAAATTCCACCAAACCTTAGAGACCAGGTAGCGCCAGTGCTACATAAATGACTTCAGAAACAGAAAGTAAGTAAAAACTTCCAAATTATTTTAATGAATTAAGTAGAACATCAATACCAAAACCTCATAAAAAGAGCATAAAACAAAAGTTACCGATCAACCACTTGTGAATTATAGATGCAAAAACTCCTAAATAAAATTCAAGTGATAGACTCTAATACCACATTAAGAAAATAATACTATGACTAAGTGGGATTTATACCAGCAATGCAAATAAATATAGTTCAATATTGAACTATGGCGGCCGGGCGCAGTGGCTCACACCTGTAGTCCCAGCACTTCAGGGGACTGAGGCAGGAGGATCACTTGGGGCCAGGAGTTTGAGATCAGCCTGGGCAACATGGTAAGATCCCATCTCTACTAAAAACACCAAAAAAAAAAAAAAAAGGCAGGCGTGGTCCCAGCTACTTGGGAGGCTGAGGTGGGAGGATGGCGTCAGCCTAGAGGGGCGGAGGTTGCAGTGAACCAAGATCGCACCACTGCACTCCAGCACTCCAGCCTGGGTGACAGAGCGAGACCCTGTAAGGCACCGTGGCTCACACCTGTAATCCCAGAACTTTGGGAGGTGGAGGCAGGTGGATCCCTTGAACCTAGGAATTCAAGACCAGCCTGTCCAACATGGCAAAACCCTATCTCTACAGAAAATACAAAAAA
The DNA here is from genome assembly GCF_000001405.40 of Homo sapiens. Classification (NCBI taxonomy): domain Eukaryota; kingdom Metazoa; phylum Chordata; class Mammalia; order Primates; family Hominidae; genus Homo; species Homo sapiens. The sequence goes on along the minus strand of NC_000021.9, from coordinate 44,040,503 downwards.
ATTAGCTGGGCGCATGCCTGTGGTCTCAACTCAATCAAGAGGCTGAGGTAGGACAATCACTTGAGCCCGGGAGGTTGAGGTTGCAGTGACCCAAGAACCCACCACTGCACTCTGGCCTGAGTGACAGAATAAGACCTTGTCTTTAAAAAAAAAAAGAGAGAGAGAATTTTTAAAAATCTCTAATAAAATAAAGTGTAAAACACAGAAGCAGACTTGCACAAAAGGAAAGGCAGCCCTTGCTCTTGAGTATGTCTCAACGTGATCAAGATGTTAGTTCTGCATATGGGAACTTATAAACTTAGTTTGATCACAACAAAAATACCTCAATTAAACATGCAAGACTAACTACAAAAACCCTGAAAAGGATGAAGCTGAAGGAGACGTTAATAAACACTATGATACATACTGTCCAAAAGGAAAAGTTTAGTTGCAAATTTGGAGCTGTTCTCAGTAGGTCTGCTCCTAGTTGTGGCGCAGGTGTACCAATTCTGAAACTATCTTATGCACGTTGTAGCACTGAGCAAATACAGAGATGTGTTGATGTTGGTGAGAGCAGAAATAAATGAGAGGCAAGAAAGAGCCCTCCAAGTTATAAAATTGGACGCATCAGTATCAGTTCGTGATTTCTTTTTTTTCTTTTGAGACAGAGTCTTGCTCTGTCTCCCAGACTAGAGTGCAGTAGCACGATCTCGGCTCACTGCAACCTCCACTCCCAGGTTCAAGCAATTCTCCTGCCTCAGCCTACCGAGTAGCTGGGATTACAGGCATGTGCCACCACGCCCAGCTAATTTTTGTATTTTTAGTAGAGACGGGGTTTCACCATCTTGGCCAGGCTGGTCTCAAACTCCTGACCTTGTGACCCACCCGCCTTGGCCTCCCAAAGTGCTGGGATTACAAGCGTGAGCCACCATGACCGGCCCAGTTCTTGATGTCTAAGGCACATCCCTATCAGCTCTGTCTGCGTAAAGGGTGGAGAGGCAGCAACGCCACCATGGCAGCAAGCACGCCTGCTGCCAGAGGAACCAGGGCTCCATGGAGACGCGGCTGACTCCAGCACAAGGGCAACGAGCTCCCAGAACCTAAAACATCTTGGTATGCCTCAAATGATTAGAAAGTGCTCAAAAGAACACAGGTGCCAGTCTGAAGTGACTCTTGATGGCCAAATCTGGGACAACCTGAGCATCAGTAAAGGTGACTGACTAACCACTGCCTGAGCAGAAGGCCCTTGCAGGCGCTCCCCAGAATAGGGGACGGGCTGACGGAGATGGGTGGAAAGGTCAGCACCCTTAGTAAAGACTCTGGCTCAGGAAAGAATCACCACTGGGTGAGGGGCAGGACACTTAAATCGCCTCACAGTGGCTCCCCAGAGTTAGATTACTGATCGCAAGGGGACAACAGCCCCACGCCAGGGAGGAACCGGACAACTCCTGGAGGAGTGATCAAATCGAACATTACAACCAGGTGTTATGGGGAGAAGAGCTGGCACAGCAGGCCAGGGACAGTGTCCTTCTCAGGCACGCCAGGCAGAGGGGGCCTACGGCGCAGCCTGGTGAAAACCTTGGGTACAGAGTCTCCGGCAGAGGCTTCCCCGGTGGAAATCTCCTCACGTGTGTCCTCACTGGCTGTGTGGAGCCCGTGGGAAAGGAGGCGGAGCAAAGTCAGCAGAGAAAGGGTGCATGAGGTGAAATCTGAGGAAAACCAGGTGCAGACTTACAGTTCCTGTCTCATTAAAATCACCAACAACTACCTCTGTGCCTCAGGTCTAGGCTACAATGTCACAGTGTGTAATAATCTATGTACTTTCTATGCTGCTAAATCTTGCTTTATTTGACTCAAAATACAGGAAGAAGTGCCGCACAGAATTTTCTATTAGTTCACGACAGAAGAAGTGTGTCAAGAACGAAAAGGTTCTTTCTGGATTCATGAATACACAACCAGAAAATACAAGTGAAAGCTGTGGCGGCCACAGGGCTGAGGCCCACTCGTTCCACGGAGAGTCACGGGGCGCCTCCTGCCCAGGCACGGCAACAGGGAGGAAGGACATGGTCCTAGCCTCAGTGGGGTCACAAACAAGCAGAAGAAACAACAGATGACCAAGGACAATGGAGCCACGATGGGAACACAGGGGTCATGAAAACAAAGCTGAAAGTCATGATCAAACACAGCTTAGACTAAGCCTGGCAGCCGTGGGGCACAGTGAGACAGCTCACAAGACTGGAGACATGGGAACACGACCACGCTCGGCGCCACGGTGAGCACAGCACGCCAGACCAGGGCGCAAACACGCAACAGCAAGTCCCGCACTTGGCCAAGGAATGAAGGGACAACCTATAACAGAGTATGTTAAAAAGTAAATTTGAAAAATTACAGCTGGCTCAACAAAGCCTAGACCCACACCTTTCCAACCCCATCCCACCGCGCGTCCTCTTCCCCCACTGGTACTCACACAGCACTCTCCACGCATCTCCAACTCCACCCCACCACGCGTCCTCTTCCCCCACTGGTACTCACACAGCACTCTCCACGCATCTCCAACCCCATCCCACCGCGCATCCTCTTCCCCTGCTGGTACTCACACAGCACTCTGTCCAGTAAATATGGAGGAAGGGAAACGTGAGCAGAGCTTTGTTTCCTTCTTTGGGCAGCAGCTCCTCTTTGAATTGAACAAAGTTAGACTCTAGGTGAATCATCTTCGGAGCCCGGCCATAGGACCTGTAAACAATTGTTTGAAGTCACTGAGAAAACAACTAAACAGCATTCATCAGAAGAGGGGAAATAGAACAACAAATAATGTAATGGTATGCATGAGTTCAGAGCACATATATTAACCCCAAATCATAACTACGCTATTCTGCTCAGAAACATTCTAGGAATTATTTTAAACACAGTTCACGTGTACAGGTCAAAGCTCCATTTCCACAAAATCTTTCATTTTCCTCAAGGATACAGGCACAGGAATACATTCTTCCAAGTACTGCATTTAACCAGGGCCACTACAGACTCGACGGTGGGTTTCAGTGTAACGGAATCTATAATTATGTCACCATAAAAGAAGAAAAGTGTGTCCCAAATGTCCAAAGTGCAGTTTTAATTACGAAAGCTTTAGGGTTGCATTCGTATTTTTGGAACAACTTGTATTTTATCCAAGAAACAAAGTTATTTGGCGAAAATATAACATATTTTTGTTTGCAGAGCACAAATAAAATAGCAGGACAAACCTCTACTTTATTCTCAACCCAAGAAGAAGGAACCCATCAAGAAATCCCACACGCCCCCTGCATCTCATCCAAGGCTCTCAGTGACGGCCTAACGATGCTTCTAACAGTGAACCACACCGCGTGGATCTCTGTGCCGTGCCTTTACTTCTCACTTCTAGCAGCTGCGTCTCTTCTGAATGTTATAGCTGGATTTTGTTTTTCATCCGATCTAAGGGTGCTGTGTTTAATAACTTAAAACCAACCATCATGAATGGGACTATGCTGATGCTTAAATATGTACATTTTCTACTTGCCGGCTCTAGTTTTCCCCTGTCCTTTGGGAGATTAATCAAGTTTTCTTTTTCCATCTTTTCTCTCTGCTGGTTTGAAAGTCTTATCATCTATCTCTATTCTACCGTTGGTTGCATTTTAATTCTCAGTACGTAACTTAAGGTTTTATTACAAAGACTAAAGTTAAAGTCTATCTCCCCTTCTCTCTGTTCTCCTTCACACACATCTGAAATTTTAGATTTTTAATTTTTTTAAAAAGTGACACCTTAACTTCAGCAAAACATGTCATGTTGCTGGCAGACGTTGCTTTCACCCTGGATCCCTGGGTTCATCTGCCTTCGTATTGGGATACATCCTTTAATTACTCAGAGGGTCGCAAGGTTTCTGTTCTTATAGATGTCTGAAAATATTTGTATTCACTTCAGTGCACCTATCTCCGTATCATGACAAGCAGTGAACATATGTGAATGGGACTCTGGGGTAGACAGGAATGGCTTTCTGTACACAGAAGTGATGGAACAGAACTGCACACAGAAGTGATGGGGCAGAACTCCTGGCCATCCTGGCCCCCACACGGCCAGCCGGGGGCCTAGAGGAAAAATCTCTCAGCACCTGTGGCTCACGCAAGGCCCTCAGGGTGGGAAGCTGTGACAGAGTCTTCCCTCTTGATGACACTGTGAATGATAAAGAATTCTAGGGTCTGGGGTACTTTCCCTCAGGACTGTGGGGAGGCTGCTCGTAAATGTATTTTATGTTGCACTGTAAATGGTTCTGTTAGAAACTGTCTACTTGGTTCTTCTTCTGTTTCTCTCTGATTCCCTGGCATGATTTTCTGTTTGCTTTGTTTTCTTCATTCTGCTTGACATTCACTAGGCTCCTGCAGTATCCCAACTCCCTTCTGGGAGAAGCTTGACAGCCATTCTTCAAATGTCACCTGTCCTCTGTTCCCTCCACTTTCCTTCTGAAAAGCCCCTCAGGTGGATCCTGGAGCTCCGTGATTTATCCTCCAGGGCCAGCTTTTCCTCCATGCTCTCCCATTCCTGCTTTTAGCAATGATCTCCCGAGTCTCTAAGCTCAATTCTTCCAGCTCACTAATTTGCTTTTCAGCTATACAGCTGTTTAGTGCATCTGGCAAACTTTGTTTCAATTGTTTTCATTTCCTAGATCCAATCAATTAATTTTAAATTTCTACTTTTTATCAAAGTAATTATTTTTTGTTTTATTTCATTTTATTTTTTGAGCCAGAGTTTTGCTCTTGTCACCCAGGCTGGAGTGTAATGGTGCAATCTTGGCTCACTGCAATCTCCTCCTCCCAGGTTCAAGCAATTCTCCTGCCTCAGCCTCCCGGGTAGTTGGGATTACAGGCGTGTGCCACCATGCCTGGCTAATTTTGTATTTTTAGAAGAGACAGGGTTTCACCATGTTGGCCAGGCTGGTCTTAAACTCCAATCTACCCGCCTTGGCCTCCCAAGTGCTGGGATTACAAGTGTGAGCCACTGTGCTGACCTGAGATAAGTACTTCAATACAAAGAGTACTGAAAAGCTTTTCTCTCTCTCCCTCTCTTCCTCCTCACCGCCCACCAACACACACACACATCCATGTCTTGGTATGTTTTCTGCTGCTGTAACAGAATATCACAGGCTGGGTAAATTATAAGCAACAGAAGGTTATTGCGCTCACAGTTCTGGAGGCTGGGAAGTCCAAGATCAAGGTGCCAGCATCTGGTGAGGGCCTTCTTGGTATGTCAAAACCCGCAGAGGGCATCACATGGTGACAGGGCAAGAGCCAGAGAGCCAAAGAGAGCTCACTTTGATAAGAAAGCCACTCACGTGATAAGGAGCCCACTCCCGTGACAGCAACATTAATCCACTCACGAGGGCAGAAATTAAGTTTCCAATGCAAGAATGTTTGGGGACACATCCAAACTACACCAAGTACCTGCTCCATCCTCCTCAACCTGCCCTCCTGCATGAGTTTCCAGACCTGCTGTCACAAACTACCACAAACCTGGAGGCTTAGGACATTAGCTTATTCTTGCATGTTTCATGAGGCCAGAAAGTTGAAATCAAGGTATGGGTGGGCTTAGTTCCCTCTGGCTGCAGTGGGAGGTTCCTTGCTTCTCTCCCAGCTTCTGCTGGCTGCTGGCATCCTCAGCATTCTTCGGCTCATGAACACATCACTCTCATCTCTACCTCCATCTTCACAAGGTCTTCTACCCTGTGTCTGTGTCTTCTCTTCTGCCTCTTACAAGGACACTTGTCATTGGATTCAGGGTCTACCCTAATTGAAGAGGATCTCACAGTGAGGTCCTTATCTTAACCATATCTGCGAAGACCCTTATTCCAATAAAGACACATCCTGAGGTTTCAGGTGGACGTATCTTCCCTAAGGTAACACATTTCTTTCCCAAATTTTAAGGTTGTTTCTGAAAAACGTAGTCTTTTCCCTGGGGCCATCCAATTTTCCTGAGATAAGTTCTCTACTCTCTTGCCTAGGAAGCATGGATCTGGCTACAGAGTTCCCGGAGCGGAGCTGTGCCCTGTTCAGAACCTAGGCCGGCTGGTTTTAGAATGGCCCTTCTCCCTTGCCTTCTGCAGCACCTCAGATCCGAGGGTCTGGAGCTCTTCTGTCCACAGAAAGACTTTCCAGGTTCCTGAGGGGCGGCGGGGGTGGGGGGGGGGGTTGGGGGAGTGGGCAATGACAGCAATCACTTCACTACAGACAGGAGTGGGGACCCTGAGTCTAACTGTCCCTGTCCACACCTCTGCCAACCCCCATCTCCAGCCCTGCTTTCACCCGGGCCTTCCAAGATCTGGCACTTTGTCCCTTGTCAGAAATTCCCCTCCTCTTATGGAGCCACAAGACACAAGGGATTGAACTTCCTCAGCTTTCTCTCCCAATTCCTCCACCTGTTTCTCTTTCTCCCAAAAACACAGCTATATCCTGCGGCCTCCGCTGCCTCCTCCTTTCTCTGTCTTTATGCACGTCTGCCTTTTTAGTTCTTTAGGGTGATTTGTTTAGCATTTGTTTGGTCCATTTTTTTTAGTCCATTTATTTGTTTAGTATTTATGTAGTCCATTTACTGGAGTTTCGGAAAGGGGAAGAGATGAATACAAATATTAAATCTACACAGTTTCTTTTTATTTATTTTTTAGCCAGGGTCTTGCTCTGTCACCCAGGCTGGAGTGCAGTGGTGCAATCTCAGCTCACTGTAGCCTCCAACTCCTGGGCTCAAGTGATCCTCTCACCTCAGCCTCCCAAGTGGCTAGGACTACAGGCGTGCACCACCATGTCCAGCTAATTTTATTTCTTCTTTACAGAGACAGGGGTTTCACTATGTTGCTCAGGCCGGTCTTGAACTCCTAGGCTCAAGCGATCCTCCCACCTGACCCTCCTACAGTGTCTGGATGACAGGCGTGAGCCACCATGCCGGGCCTACATAGTTTCTCCATTTAATTTTTTTCTCAAAATTATCTTGTTTCATGAACACACTTTTTTTTTCCCTTTATCTATCAGAATGCCCTTACAGATTACTCCATTTGCTAAACTCTTTTCTCTCTTTCACAGCACTGGGCCTCCTCACATGTTAAGCAATTTTTCTCTTACACTCTGTACACTCTTTATATTAAATATTAGCAACTAAATGCATATCTTGTAAGACACTATAATCAGCACAGAAATTAGACTATATTCACCTGGGTAAGTCAACTCCAGAAAGCCACCTTAATCCCTCATGTTACTAAGGCACAAACTGGTGGTCAGAAAGGAATAATGCTATAAGAATCAGACTTACATAAACACAAAGAACAACAGGAAATTCTGTATACCCTGGTTAAAATCAGATTACCTATGTTACAAGACAAAATCCAAATTTACAAATTTACATTTACATATACACAACTTTATATTTACAAGTAACACCTGCTCTTACCAGAAATAAGTTTTCCAAGAAGAGGATTCCCAGTCAGTGATTTCCTATGAGTATGTCACCAGACGACTAACTGTAAACATGCAACAGAGCAACGGTGATGGCTGATCTAACCTCGCTCCTAATTTTTAAATACCATCTTTCTGTTTACCTTCTTGTCCTTAAGGAAAACGCACAGGAGCCAGGGTGGAGGGAGGGTCTTGTAAGATGGCTGATACAGCCCAGTTCTTCCGCTTTAAGGTGGAGTCTAAGTGAGCACGTGTCTCCTTTGCAAAACGCCTGTGCCTTTAAGACATTCTGGTCAACCATGAAGAATCACAGATCATTCCTATAAAAGTGAGTCTTTAACTCAAAATAATTGTCTTGCTTCTACTTTCCAATGTCTCGTTAAGAAAAACCATCGTAGTCTGGGCACAGTGGCTCATGCCTATAATCCCAGCACCTTGAGAGGCCGAGGAGGGCGGGTCAGTTGAGGTCAGGAGTTCAAGACCAGCCTGGCCAACATGGCAAAACCTGTCTCTACTAAAACTACAAAAATTAGCCGGGTGCGGTAGCGCACACCTGTAATCCCAGCTACTCAGGAGGCTGAGGCAGGAGAATTGCTTGAACCCAGGAGGTGGAGGTTGCAGTGAGCCGAGATTGCGCTACTGCACTCCAGCCTGGGCGACAGAACGAGACTCTGTCTCAAAAAAAAAAAAAAAAAAAAAGAAAACCATGGCATTCCATAAAGAATAAGACCCACAAAGACCCACAGATTATGTGAGGTCATTCTGTTTCTTTAGAACTGAGGCTTTTAACTTGTGCTACTTCACTTGTTCACATAAATGTCTAAACAACATATACTTATTTAAAAACATGTACTTCATTTTAAAAAATGAAGAGAGGGATACAGCCAAAAAACACACAACTCATACCTTCTCCATTCCATTGGTTCTCTTGGAAGCTGCTGAGAGAGCGTTGGATAAACAGAGGTAAATAAATTCTGATCTCCAGCACCTATGAAGGGAAGAAAGAAATTCAGTTACCATATTTTTAGGTGAATACATGCAAAATGGCTCTAGAGCTTAATAAATTGGTGTTTTTAGGTAGTTTTATGTTTAGTAAAGCGATATCGCAAGATTCTTCTGTACCTGTGCCTCTACATAACACGTCTCAGGAAAACCCAGCACGGGACAGATGTGATGAAGCTGAACCCTCGTGACACCTCCATGGGGTGGGTGTGATTTTCCCCACAAGGAAAACAAGGATCAGAGAAGGTGAAGAACTTGCCCCAAGGACACAAAGCTTAGGAGAGGGAGCCTGCTCCACCTCACCCAGCTTTGCTGTGTTCTACAGCCTCCACTTTCTCCCAGACGCCCAAAATCCATGGAGAAAAAGAAACCAAAACTTCACCAAAATCAACTCACTGTTCAACCAAGTGCCAGGAGGAGCTAAAATTTATAGGTGGCTCCCCATGTGCGAATATTACACAAGGCACCTGCCAGGCACCCTCTCATTCTGTCTTCCCCATAACTCCTGGGAGGAAAGGCACAAACACGACCCCAATTCACAGATGAGGAAAGTCAGCTTTGAGGGCCAACGTGTTCAGTGCACAGAGCTGACAGTGGCAGACGCGAGTTAGGAATCCAGCTGCGGCCGACTTTACGCTGCACGCTCAGTGTTAATTCAGCTTTTATCTTTGCTTTAATAGAAATGAAAAATCCATTTTGTTCTCATAAAATGATGATATAACTGTATTACACTTCGGCTAAAAAAGAACCTTTTAATATAGATGACTAAAATTCTTATACTCAGAGGATCCTCTTTACTTTAGCAAACCATTTTCCAAATTGCTTTTATATTGATCTTTAAGAAATCATTGGGAATTGATGTGTGCCATTAACACATCTGCTTATTTTGCTATCAAAAGCCTAAAAATAAAAAACCTCCTGAAACTCATATAATAATGTCAAGTCACTGAGGAAGGGTAATGACATTTCCGGGCAGATGGCACGGTGAGTGGGCAAGGCGCTGGTAACCTCACTGCCCGGTCCCCATCTCAGTTCCATCACTGACCAGCTGACTGCACCTGGGGAGATCATTTAACCTTCCTGTGCCTCGGGGACATGGGAAATGGGAAAATGAGAAGAGCTCGGCCAGAGGAGCTCTGGTGAGGATTAAATGAGACAAGACACGTCAGTCACTTCCAACAAGGCATGGCACATAGTGGTTAAAAAGGGACTATTACTACATTTTGTTAACACAAAAACAGTATGTTTGAACTTATCACTTTTTATCTTGTTCATTTATTTGGTAGTCATCTTAGAAATCAATAAAAGAGGCCAGGCGTGATGGCTCACACCTGTAATCCCAGCATTTTGGGAGGCCGAGGTGGGCAGATCACCTGAGGTAGGGAGTTTGAGACCAGCCTGACCAACATGGAGAAACCTTGTCTCTACTAAAAAAATACAAAATTAGCCGGGCGTGGTGGCGCATGCCTGTAATCCTAGCTACTCGGGAGGCTGAGGCAGGAGAATCGCTTGAACCGGAAGGCGGAGGTTGCAGTGAGCCAAGATTGCACCATTGCACTCCAGCCTGGGCAACAAGAGCGAAACTCCATCTCAAAAAAAAAAGAAAAAGAAAGAAAAGACATCAATAAAAGAAAAGAAGAAAATCTTTAGTTAGCCTCTGGTTTCTTAACTTTGATTGCCAATTTCTGTTGTCCTGTTAAACAGTTCCAAGATTAATGTATAAAAATCATTACTCTTTGCTAAGTGGAAAGTAAGCCAACTAAATGGAATCGCTTTCTCCTCTTCCACTTGGTTTTCTATATAAAACTACAAACACACACACACACACACTCTCTCGCTCTCTCTCTCACATTCTATCTTTGCAATACAGTTACTTCACATACGTATACAAATAACATCCGTACAGAGTAAAAGTGGAACTGCCTCCAACACCTGCTCCAAGCTCTTCTCCCTGGGAACCCTGCCGTACAGTAAGACTCGTCTAAATGGAGACTACCAAGTAGCAATGTCTCTCGCATTCCATCATGGACTAACTCTCTAACCTGTGTTCACCTAGAAGATGACCAGTCAATCAGCACATCCAACAGTGGCAAAAGTGTCATCTGACCTAAGTAGGAATTTGACCTGGGACCATCTGACCTCAGTACCTGTTATGGGCTGAACTGTGTCCCACAAAAACCTACCTGTTGAAGCCCTAAAATCCAGTACCTCAGAATATAACCATATGCAGATAAGGTCTTCAAAGTTGATAAGGTAGCTTAGTTAAAATGAGGTCTTCAGGATGGGCCCTAATCCAACTGACTTGTGTAAAGAGAAGATTTGGTCACACAGACAGAAGGAACGCAGGAAGGCCCCATGAGGACACAAAGGCCCATGCTGTGGCTGCCTGGACCTGGTCTCCAGAGCTGTGACACAGCGCATTTGTGCTAAGCCACCCAGACTGTGTGACTCTGTGGCGGCAGCCCTAGCACACCAAGACAGTGCCCCAGCGTAGATTTGAAGGCCCAATTCTAACCCACTGAGGCGCTGCATTAACAATGTGAAGAAAAATCACCACCATTTTCTCAGCATATACAACCATTATTTTAATAAACTCTTAAATCTTCACATCAAGTCTTATGAAATTAGAGATGCCTTTGAAAATGGGGTATGGAGAACCAGCACATGAAAGATGGTGAAGAGCAGCTGGGCGCAGTGGCTCACGCCTGTAATCCCAGCAGATTGGGAGGCCGAGGTGGGTGGATCACAAGGTCAAGTGATAGAGATCATCCTGGACAACACGGTGAAACCCCGTCTCTACTAAAAATACAAAAAATTAGCTGGGTGTGGTGGCAGGCGCCTGTAGTCCCAGCTACTTGGGAGGCTGAGGCAGGAGAATGGTGTGAACCCGGGAGGCGGAGCTTGCAGTGAGCCGAGATCACGCCACTGCACTCCAGCCCGGGCGACAGAGCGAGACTCCGTCTCAAAAAAACAAACAAACAACAAAAAAAAAGATGGTGAACAGCTTAAGTTTAAGAGCCCAAAAGAATTCAATCTTGGCTCACGCGGTAGGTAATTAAATTAACAACACAGACTTTGTAGTTTCCTGAACTAACCCAACCATTAAGCAGAAAAGTCACTAGAGCTCTGCGGGCTGAACTGCGAGGCAGAGCACGTTCCAGGCTAAATTTTCATTTTAATCCCACGGGCAACAGAGGCATGAGCGAAACCCAGCAGGAACTCGCTTGTTAATAGGGTGGTTCCTAAGAGCCAAAACGGGGCTTGAGACTGATGTGCCCACACTCAGAAACCCTGTTCACAAAGTCACCCAGTTCACTGTTCTGCCTCAGGAGGCTATTTATTAAGAGACAACTCAGGCCTTTTATTCCAATAACTAAGGTCTCCTTTTTTTGGTGACAGAGGAGATCTATCAAAATAATTTATAAGAGCAATTCAAAACACAACTTCACTACATACACCCCCATCCCTGTGCGTCTCCACACCCACCATTGGCTCTCATGCCCACTGGGGAGACAGGGAGATAAGAGGGTGCGGCAGGTCAGGAAGCTGGGGTGCCATGGATCCCTAAAGTCTGTGGGAGCACAGCATCACCCTGGCTGAACAGCAGGCACTGGAGTCCCCAGATGGGAAGAGACATGTAGAGGGAATGGCAAGCAGCAGCCACCCAGAGGGACACAGGCACTCTTTCTAGGGTGCCGCCTGGAGCCGCTGGATGGGCCCCCAGGCTGAGGAAAGCCCAGTTCAGAGAATCCCCGGGAAAGCGGGGCAGAGCTCTGGGGTCTGATTACATGGACCAATCAGTTTTTGGATTATTTATGCAGTTGCAATTGGATTTTCTGTTACATGCAATCAGATTACTAACATAGGCTTAGCTATTTCCTGAATTATTACTGTATTCCCTGAGATTTTTACAAGCACGTATTCATGCATTACTTGTGTAATTTAAAACCTTTTATGTTCAAAGCAAATAAGAAACACGATGGGGGAAAGAATTCAAAAAGATGACTTCAGTGATTTAGTGTAACAGGTAACATTTCAATAAATTCAATGTCTTACTCTGTTCAGGCTGCCATAACAACATACAATAAACTAGGATGGCTTATAAACAGCAGAAATTTATTTATCATTTCTGGAGGGTGTAAGTCTGAGTCAAGGCTTCAGCAGGTTGAGTACCTTGGTCTTGCTGTGCCCTCACGTGGGGGAAGGGGCAAGGGAGATCTCTGGGGCCCTTTTTTATAAGGGCACTAATCCCTTTTGTGGGGACTCCAGCCACATGACCTAATCACCTCCCAAAGGCCCCACCTCCCAAAACCATCACATTAGGGTCATGGAACAGCTGCTAGGTAACACAGTCAAGAGAAGGGCCACCTGTTTACCGTCCCTCCAGACAGCACCGTGCGCCTGCTATGCCCCCGGCACTTCACGCATACTCACCCTGAACCCTCATATGGAAACCAAGACATCAAGAACTCCCCTAATTGGCCCAACATCAAGCAAATGAGCGCCAAGGCTGGGATTCGAACCCAGGTAGCTTGGCTTAGGACTCAATACTGCCCAGTGCTCCTTCCCAACTTCTTAATTCTAACAAGTTTACTACTTACTCTGCAGCAGTTGTTTTAACAATGGTTGGCTGAAAATATGGGTTCCAAAAGGCCTTCCGCAGACAGAGTGAACATTTCTGTCATCTGTTTTTTACTGAACCAATTCTTGAACGTGCAAAGCCGTGATGGTCTTACTCATACAAAAGTATAAAAGGATCACAAAATTATAACCCTGAGAGAGTGGCTAAGCAAAACAGAATGTTCAGTCAGTTTGTCGCTTTCCTAAATACCTGACATGATATATTTTCAAGGTCAATACTTCTATTTGGAGATTTATGTTGGAAAAAAAAACCTTGACATAAGGAGTCTGAATATTTGCTGATACTCTGATACAGGACAATTTTTCTTCAAATTCTTTAGCATAATCTTGGTAAAAGGAACAGTAAGTTTTCTAATAAAATACATCTCACTTTATCTTAAATTGTTGGAGACATGTGGAGTGTTTCAACCTGTTAACAAGACACTGTCCTCGGCCACCTAATGGGCTGTCTTATTTTCAAAGGCTGGCTTTATTCTGTAGGGCTTAGTAGGCCCCAGAGCACTAATGGGTGAGAAAGACAGAGAAATGGATTTAGCTCAACCCAAGAAATGCTGTGGCCTACGAGAGAAGACCCTGAGGGTGGAGGGGGGTGAAGAATGACAGAAAGTGTCCCACAGCTGGGGGCCTCAACCATGGGCTGGGTCATCTCCCAGTTGCGACTAAAAGCAGCGGAGTGACTGGACTAGACAAGAGATGAACTAATTTTAAGGCCCTCCAAGCAAGGTTCCATGATTCTATTTTTGAACAAAAAAGTCAAAGGAAATGTATAATTTATCTAAGATTTGCTTTACAGAAAATTTTGCAGAAATAATAATTCTTTAAGCCTATTAACAAAAGAAAGCTGCAATCCACTATGAGGCAGTTCATGTTTGAAAACACGGGATTAGAGAGGGCACCGTCTTCAAGCCTAGGAATGCAAGTGCTTGCCCATAGGCCATACATTCATTTCTCTTCAATGGCTTTTGGTAAAACGGGCTTTCAAATGGACGATAAAAACATCCGAGATTACAAACTGGGAAGTCATCTCAGCCTGTTCAATAATGCATAAAGTATTTGCTATAATTCGTGTATAATGTCGAGGCAGTAATGAAAATTAATGCTTCAGATTGGGAGCTCTTTCATGGTGAAAACTAACATCAAATGCATAATCATGGGTATGGAAGCCTCCCCGGTGCTCCTGCCAGAGTATCTGTCCGTGAAAAGCCTTCGCAGTCGGGGGTGGGGGCAGGGAGTGAAGGTCAACGAGAAAGCACAAAAAAGGATCCAGATGTTATCCAGATTCTCTAGGTAGAAAGCAAGGTTTAGTCACCCCCTAAGATGACTAGGCAACTAACTCCACATTTCTAGCATAGACACTGTCCTCCCTTCATTAGAAGGCACATATTTGAGAAGTAAAGCAAATGAACCCTCCCACAGTTCTGCACCACCAAGTTTAAAGGCCAAGTCTAAAGAAGTACTCAGTACACCCCCTGCCATGTCATCGCCGGCTTAACGTTATACCCATTCAGCCTGGCTCTCCTCCAGGTCCTTCCTGTGGTCTCTACCTTCCCTCTGACACACACACACACACACACACACACACACACACACACACACACACACACACACACACACCCCTGCCCTCTGCTGCTCTCTCCCAGCACCCAGTCATATGACAATACTACCCACTGTAGGTGGGGTCAAAAGAAAACCCATACATTAGTGTTCATCAAGTTTCCTACTGTGGAAATTTGCAGAAAAGGAACTACTACACGTAAAGACTAGTCAAAAGACAGAAAGTCCCAGTCTTTTTCTGTTTTAACTTAAAAGACAAGAACACACAGGCCAAGAATGTTAAGAAGTTGAATGAACTCTTCTAATCAAGGAAACAAGTTGCCTTCTCTAGCCCTCAGAGAGCAAACTTAAAATTCAAGAGTTTAAAAACAAAAAGACTGGATAAATGCATCTGAATATAAGAATACTGAGGAATCAGCCTTTAACAGTGTATACATTTTTTAAATAAACACAGCATTACTGTAGCAGTTTGAACCACAGTACTGTATTTACAAGTTAAAAAGAGACACTCCTGTTCCTGGCACCCCAATGCCTTAAGGCTTTAGACAGAAGGGTTCCCAAACTGGTCTTTCCCCAGACTTCCCCTTTGCCACTGGCTTTGTTCAAGGGCTGGCTTCTCAGCGAGGCCTACAGGCAGTTTCCCAATGGTGCAAGCACTCAGGAGGGAGCTGAGGCAGCATCAGCACAGTGACATAACCATTTGCCTCAGCCCAGCAACCCGCCCTGCAGGGCTCCATCCCAACAGGCCCGTCGGAAAGGCCACAGACAGGCTATCTGTGCACAACTACTGGAAACAGTAAAACACAAAACAACTCAAATTCCACCAGGAGGGGACTGGCAGAATAAACCACGGAATATCGACATCATGGAATGAGAATGATCTCAACATACTCCTAGCGTGGAGTGGAGTCCGGGGGAAAGTGAGGTGGGACAGTGTGTGCAGCTGGCAATGTCTAAGCTAAGAAAGGGAAATACAAATATGTTTGGATGTTTTTCACGTGGAAGGAAAACCATAAAAACTGTGATGGAGTACTCAGGAAGGGAGGAGTTAGCATGGAGAGGACAGAACATACACAAGGCTTCTTTAAATAGACCTCATTTTGTAGATTTAATTTTGGAAGTAAATATTTTATATAGTTATAAAGCAATTAGATTTTTTCAAGGTTTTCCCTAAAAATAATCAGGAAAAATAAAACAAGTGAACTTAAATGTATACATATACATTTAGTGGTATAATCTCAGAGAGAGGAGCTATGACAAGTAACTTTAAAACTACAGTAATTTGACTGTTCATTCCTTATGGGATACATCCAAATGCCAATAAGAACTGTCAAAAACAGTTCTAGACCTGTGTTCACTAGTCCTGTTGTTGATGGTGGAGTTAATAGTGTTATTCAGAGTCTATGTAATGAGGGATAAAGCAACTGAAAGCAAGTGAGCAATCGTGTGATGTTCTATTCAGTGGCCCCTGGCCCTTCAGCATCAGCACCACCTGGGCATTTGTTAGAAATGCTCATTCTCAGGCCCCACCCAGACCTGTTCAATCAGAAATGGGGAATGGACCCAGCCATCTGTGTGTCCACAAGCCCTCCAGGTGACTGAAGCAGCATGAGCTGGGGAACCTCTAACTCTAGCCTCCTCAAGTACCCATGAGAATTAGGATTTTCAGTGTGGAAAAGAGAAAACACAGAGGATGGAGCTGTTAATTAAAACCCTGCAGCCCTGAGTTTTCATCAAAAAGAGTGAACTTATGATGTATTTTATCTTAAAAATACAAAAAACAAAGAACAATTCCTAGGCTGGTGCGGTGGCTCACGCCTGTAATCCCAATGCTTTGGGAGGCCAAGGTGGGTGGATCACCTGAGGTCGGGAATTTGAGACCAGCTTGGCCAACACGGTGAAACCCTGTCTCTACTAAAAATATAAAAATTAGCCAGATGTGATGGCATGCACCTGTAATCCCAGCTACTCACTACTCGGGAGGCTGAGGCACAAGAATCTCTTGAACCTGAGAGGCAGAGGTTGCAGTGGGCTGAGATCGTGCCATTGCACTACAGCATGGGCAACAGAGTAAGAGCCTGTCTCAAAACAAAACAAAACAAAAACAAAAAACAAACAAACAAAAATGCCTAGCTATTCCTAGCTCTGCCTATTGAAAAGGCCTCACAGCAACTAGGAGCCCAAGCTTGCAGACTATGGTCTTGAAATACTATTTTTCACTAAAAGGAATCAGGGCTCCTTGGCAATTGCTAAGTGCAGATCAGGGCATTAAATGTTCAAAATGAGCCCGGAACATCTTGTCAGGCTAGATAGGAAAGAATCTGACAAAGATGCCTCTATCTTAGACCCCAACATGAAAGAGACTCTCCCTGGCCAAAGGGAGAACAACCTGCTCACCAACGAGGCAACAATGCAATGGACTGTAACACATCAAGTATGTTCATAATGATTAAGTTCACAGCCATACTAAACGAACAACAAAAACACGCCAACCGATCACCTCTGAAAGATGCCAGTGAACCAACTCACTTTGAAAATGGTTACATAGGCCGGGCGCGGTGGCTCACATCTGTAATCCCAGCACTTTGGGAGGCTGAGGCGGGAGGATCACGACGAGGTCAGGAGATCGAGACCATCCTGGCTAACACGGTGAAACCCCATCTCTACTAAAAATACAAAAAATTAGCCCGGCGTGGTGGCGGGCACCTGTAGTCCCAGCTACTCGGGAGGCTGAGGCAGGGGAATGGCGTGAACCCGGGAGGTGGAACTTGCAGTGAGCCAAGATGGAGCCACTGCACTCCAGCATGGGCGACAGAGCAAGACTCTGTCTCAAAAAAAAAAAAAAAAAAAAAAAAAGACATAGGGAAATGAGAATATCACCATTTTGCAACCTTTAGGGAATTAGTGATGTGAAAATAAATGGCTGCCAATTTCCAAAAGGAGAGGTAATCGGACATCACGCACCTGCTGGAAGAACAGCAACACCCATGATAAAGTCCTGCCGACAAAAAATCCAGCCTGAAGCTGACCCAGCCTCCAGCTCCAACTACCAAAGTCTAGGCAGTGGGACCTTTTCAAGACAAATGAGCCAGGTTCATCAAGTTATAAAGAAAAAAAAAGAGACAGAGGGAACATGAAGATTTTAAGAGACTTAAAGGATTTATCTAAAAACTGTATTTGGATACTAATTCAAACAGTTTTAAAAATGGACATTTAAGACACACTGGAAACTTAAACACTGAATATTTGGTATTAAGAAACGTTTTAGGCCCAGGCATGGTGGCTCACACATGTAATCCCAGCACTTTGGGAGGCAAAGGTGGGCGGATCACCTGAGGTCGGGAGTTCGAGATAAGCCTGACCAACATGGAGAAACCCCATCTCTACTAACAAACCCCGTCTTTGTAAAAAAAAAAAAAAAAAAAAAAAAATTAGCTGGGCATGGTGGCACACGCCTGTAATCCCAGCTACTCGGGAGGCTGAGGCAGGAGAATCGCTTGAACCTGGGAGGCGGAGGTTGCAGTGAGCCAAGATCGCACCACTGCACTCCAGCATGGGCAACAAGAGTGAAATTCCATCTCAAAAAAAAAAAAAAAAAAAAAAAATTTAGCCAGGCATGGTGCCATGTGCCTGTAATCCCAGCTACTTGGGAAGCTGAGGCAGAAGAGTTGCTTGAACCCGAGAGGCGGAGGTTGCAGTGAGCTGAGATTGTGCCACTGCACTCCAGCTTGGGCAACAAGAGCGAAACTCCATCTCAAAAACAAAAACAAAAACAAAAGAAAGAAAGAAACGTTTTAGGTGTAATTAAAAAATACCATGAAAGAAAAAAAAAAAGAAAGAAATTTTTAAAAAGAAAAAAAAATGCCATAGACTGGGTGGCTTAGAAAACAGTTTTTTGTTTTCTCTCTGAAAAGACCCTAAGAAAGAAAAAAAAAATCGCAATGTATTTTCTCATAGCTCTGTAGGTCAAGAAGCCCGAGATCAAGGTGTCAGTAGATTAGGTTTCTGGTGAGGCCTGTGTTACAGACTGCAGACAGCCACTTCCTTGCTGTTATCCTCAGGTGGCCTTTCCTCGTTTCAAGGGGGAGGTGTCCTCTCACTCTTCCTCATCTAATCCAATAATAAAGGGCCCACCCTCCTGACCTCATCTAGCCCTGGTACTTCTCAAAGGCCCATCTCCTATTCTTAGCACACTGGGAGTCAGGGCTTCGGTGTGTAGGGAGGGACACAAATGTTCAGTCCATAACATCCATTCGTGGATAAATTATATGTCTGAGATTTGCTTCAAAATAATATAAGACTGGGGAGAATGAGGGGTATAGAGAAGCAAGATTGGGCAGTTCACCTAATTGCTGTAGTTGGGTGAAAGGTTTGTAGGGTCTCTTTATAATATTCTGTCTACTTTGATACATATTGCACTTTTATAATAAAATATGTGAAATGTTACAGTTCTTCCATTTCCCTTATCCTTCTCTTTTTCTTTTTTCCATAGCACTTGTCACCTAACATTATTTGTCTATTGTCTATCTCTTCTTGACAGAATGTAAACTCTCAAAGGGTTGGGATCTTTGCTCTCTGACATAACCCAAGCCCCTTCAGCAGTAACTGGCATGTAATAGGTCCTCCGTAAATGTTTGCTCACTGATGAAAACAGCCCAACTCCTCCATACTCCACACTAGACAACCCAGGATCCCCAAAGGACAGAACAGACTACAGGAGAAGCAAAGACAGTGCTGGGTATCAAGTTCTCAGAATAGGAATTTAATTTTGGAATAAGACTATACTAAAAATTTCTAGTGTATAGCTTACTTACTCAATTCTTAGAATGCTAAAGTGACATTTTTATTTAATTATATGGCAAAGGCTTTCTCAGAAGCATAATTTTAGGGACAAACTCCCTGCTTCCATGTGAACAGATGGTGTCTGCCTTCCCTAAGTACTTGGTAAAGCAGGAGTCATCAGACATGCTAATATTGGTCCGAGCTGTGCTACTAAACAGTTACACTGATCATGGCCAGTCACAGCAAAACCAGCCCTCAGCTCCTCAACTTCAAAATGACTTCTGACGGCCCTTCTCATTAACCTGGATGTTTAGAGCTTGCTGACTGGTCTAGGTGAACTGACAGTGCCCACAAATGGCAAGCTACAGATTGAGTTAAAGTTACTATCCAAACAGGTGGTTGTCAGTTCCAAGGCTCTGCTAAAAATTTCAACCCTGAAATTGTTTTTTTTTGTTTTTTGTTTTTTGAGACAGGGTCTCACTCTGTCGCCCAGACTGGAGTGAAGTGGCACAAACATGGCTCACCGCAGCCTCAAATTCCTGGGCTCAAGCGATCCTCTGGCCTGTCTCCCAAGTAGCTAGGACTAGAAGCACGCACCACCATGCCCAGCTAACTCTGAAATGTATACAATCGCTTCAAACTGCTAACAGATCTCAGTTAAAAATAAGAAAAATGGGCCAGGCGCGGTGGCTCATGCCTGTAATCCAGCACTTTGAGAGGCCGAGGCGGGCAGATCACAAGGTCAGGAGATCGAGACCATCCTGGCTAACACGGTGAACTCCATCCTTACTAAAAATACAAAAAAATTAGCCAGGTGTGGTGGTGGGCGCCTGTAGTCCCAGCTACTCGGGAGGCTGAGGCAGGAGAATAGCGTGAACCCAGGAGGCGGAGTCGGAGCTTGCAGTAAGCCGAGATCACGCCACTGCACTCCAGCCTGGGCAATAGAGCGAGACTCTGTCTCAAAAAAAAAAAAAGAAAAGAAAAGAAAAATGTCCAAACATACAATGGAATGGTCCCTGGTCACTGTTAAAAAAAAAAAATTGCAAACAGGGGCCTAAAATAATATTCAGAAATTAAACACCATGTAACAAATGTCCAAAAAGCCACATAAGGGAGAGAGCACAGAAGAGGCTGGACTTTTCCTAAGAAGGGATCACCCCACCTTGTAACCACATCTAGAACCCAGAAGCCCAAATGTCAAGATAACATTCCCTCGGTCAGGAGTACACGAAGGACAAACCTCCAAAGACAGACGCAGCTGTCTAAAACCAAAGACGCTTGATGAATGCCGGCCACTGCGCGCTTGGTAGCTAACACAGACAGTGGTGCGGCAGGTGGCATGGTGCCCCACAACATCCTAACCCTCAAAACCTGTGAATGTCACCTTATTTGGGAAAGGGGTCTTTGTAGACTTAATTAAGTTCAGGAGCTCAAGATGTGATTATCCCAGATTATCCAGGCAGGCCCTATATATAGCTGGATTCTAGATATATTTCAAAGATAATGTCAGTTGTGAGAGAAAAAAGAAGTCATAAATGACTCCAAGGTTATCAATTTTTAATTTAAAAACAAATATTCTCTAAGGCCAAAATACTGTGACTATATTTGACATTAAGAGCAGATAGAGGAAAGATTTGAGGAAGAAAGAAGGTGAGACACAGGACAGGAAGCCACAGGAAGCTCTGAGGCAACCCACCACAGAGGCAGGCACTGAGGTGGGAATGTTTTGACTGTTTAAGACCCTGCAGCTGTCTGGGCACAGTGGCTTATGCCTGTAATCCCAGCACTTTGGGAGGCCAAAGAGGGCGGATTGCTTGAATCCAGGAGTTCAAAACGTGCCTGGGCAACATGGCGAAACCCCATCTCTACTGAAAATACAAAAAATTAACTGGGCATGGTGGCACACAAGCAGCTACTCGGGAGATTGAGGTGGGAGAATCACCTGACCCCAGGAGGTCAAGGCTGCAGTGAGCCGAGATCATGCCACTGCACTCCAGTCTGGGCGACACAGTGAGACCATGTCTTAAAAAAAAAAGACCCTGTAATCTTCTGCCGTTGCTGGTCTCTAACTCCAGATCTAAAGCCACCAGGTCTAGAGTGGAGCACGGGGGTGGGAGGGTCAGTACTTGGAGATCAGTGTGCAATACCTTTGGAGACCACACACTTACACACTAAGGCATGCGACTCCAGGGAAGACACTCTGTCAACTGGCAACAAACTTTCCTACGACAAAAAAATCCTTAAGTCAGTTATTTGTATTTCCATTAAAAGATAACCAACTCAGCCAGAGTGAGCCACACAATCACACTGTCAGTTGGCAGGCCTCTGGTGGAAGCACACAGCAAAAACTCTCTAAGGAAAGACTGGTTCATGTGTTATGCCCGACATACTTTTTTTTTTTTTTTTTTGAGACGGAGTCTCACGCCAGGCTGGAGTGCAGTGGCATGATCTCGGCTCACTGCAACCTCCGCCTCCCAGATTCAAGCAATTCTCCTGCCTCAACCTCCCGAGTAGCTGGGACTACAGACGCGAGCCACCACGCCCAGCTAATTTTTGTATTTTTAGTAGAGACGGGGTTTCACCATGTTGGCCAGGGTGGTCTCAATCTCTTGACCTCATGATCCACCCACCTTGGCCTCCCAAAGTGCTGGGATTATGGCCATGAGTCACTGCGCCCAGCCTTTATTTTTTTTTCTGAGACCAGGTCTTGCTCTGTCACCCAGGTTGCAGTGTGAGGTACAATCACAGATCACTGCAGCCTTGACGTCCCAGGTCCAAGTGATCCTCCCGCCTCGGCCTCCCAAGTAGCTGGGAGTACAAGCGCACACCACCACACCTGGCTAACTTTTTTATTTTCATTTTTGTAGAGATAGGAATTCCCTATGTTGCCCAAGCTGTATCATACTTGATTATTTCAGAGATTCATCAGCACTTAAGAAAAAAAGAAAAAAAAAAAGAAAATCAGACCTTTCCATTTCATTTGCATAAAGAACTTACTAGAAACTCTTCAGAAACACATCTTGTAGTAAAGTAGGTGTGTGAGCTGAAAAGAAAGGAAGCTTTTCAATTCTAAAGTATCAGTTCAAATCCACCCTGGAGTTGGGCTAATAACACTAACAGCACGGGTTCCCAAACTGTGTACCTAGGCTTCCCACACACTACGCAGAGAGGCACCAAGAGATATTTTAAATTTATGAGGGAAACAGCAATGCTTGTGGTGTAGGAACCCCACACAAGGTATTCACAGTGTCAACATCAGATCAGGGCTCCACTTCTTTCGATGACATCATTATCGTCGCAAAACAGGGTGGCTGCTCTGATAAAAAGCAAGTACCACCAAAAAGAAGAAGAAAAAAAAAAAACCAAAGGGAGAAGCAGCGTCCAATCCGACCTTCAGGTGAGAGGTGCCACAGAGCTCCCGCAGGGCCTGCCCCCCACGTAGCACACTGCTGCAATTAGGAAGAATGATGAAAATATTTTTTTCTTCCAACTTATATATATTTTTTTTCAAACAGCTCTTGTTAGGACATAATATTTAATAAATTACTGGAATCTAACTACTTAATAAATGGAATTTTTAAGTATTCCTTTTAGCCTAGAGATGCCATGAAAAAAATTACCGAGACACTAAAAGCATTGTGAACAGAGAAAATTGAGGAACCTCTCCTTAGTAACTTTTTTTGCACACTGACTATAATCCTGACACTCTCCTGAGTGCTTTACACACCCTTCTCAACCCGATGGGGTTGGTACTGTACCCGTTTCACAGCTAAGGGTCTGTGAAATTATGTAAGAACCGAGGTCATGCGTACAAGATGGAATGGTTTGTAACCATGCTCGGGTAGAAATGACATAGTAAGTTAAGCACATTTGTTGGTGCCTTTAGTCCCCGCCTCCAAATACATACTCTCTGCAACAACTGCGATTTCCTAAGAAGAATGTTTCTCCTACTTTTCAATCTTTGGTTCAACATTGCCTTGAGAATTCAATATGAAACAAAATCTGCATTTATAACATATTCACCCATTTAAACAGACATTTCAAGTGACTTTTCTGGTAGTAAAACTAGTGATGGTTAAATCGCAAGCACCACATTTTCAGGTTTAGTAGAAAATTTCAATGTGCAAATTTAAAAACTTTAACCTGGCTGGGCGCGGTGGCTCATGCCTATAATCCCAGCACTTTGGGAGGCTGAGGCGGGCAGATCACAAGGTCAGATCAAGACCATCCTGGCTGACACGGTGAAACCCCGTCTCTACTAAAAATACAAAAAATTAGCCAGGCGTGGTGGCGGGCGCCTGTAGTCCCAGCTACTCGGAAGGCTGAGGCAGGAGAATGGCGTGAACCCGGGAGGCGGAGCTTGCAGTTAGCCAAGATCACACCACTGCACTCCAGCCTGGGCAACAAAGCAAGACTCCGTCTCAAAAAATAAAAATTAAAATTAAAAAAATTTTAACCTACAGGGGAAAATCCCAAAGTCCAACCAGACACGAAGCTCTACATATCTGCTCATTTCTGTTGCCTGTTTTCCCCTTTAAAAGTTTCTAATATCAGACCTGGAACCCCAAATACAGAAACTCAGAAAAATGAAACAGGCAACAGATGTGACTAATGAGAACAGATCACCTAGAGGGAGGGTACTATTATTGTTCAGAGAAATTCAATTCCAAGCTAATAACAGGTATGTGCTATTGTAGGTATGAGGACAGTCAACAAAGAAAAGCCACAAATCACTGGAATTACATTAACTTTGTCACTAACTGAATGAGATGGCTGGAAAAGGAACGTGTCTTTCCTAATACACCCTTGGAACAGAAACCCAAGTCTATTTCAAAACAGAAAACTGACCCTGTGGCTGAAAAACAAATCTACGCTAAAATTTAAATTTAGACCAAATGGATCTGCTGGATTTGTTTCAGTTACGCCAGGCATTTTTCATGATTAATAAAATATACTACAAGTTTTCCTATTGCTATGATTCGGTCATTCATCACCCAACCCCGTCAAAGCATTAGTTCCACTAACTGTTCAGCTCCCATCCCTGCACATTTCACATACACTCTTCAGTATTTACAAGCTGTAACTAGTTCTGAGTTTAAGAAGGCCCCTACTGTGCTAGTCCCTCTTCACAGGAGCCCGTTAGGCAGGAGGTTTAATTATGGGCTAAAGTCTATTAAAACATTTAGGGCCAGGTGCGGGGGCTCACGCCTGTAATCCCAGCACTTTGGGAGGCCGAGGCGGGCAGGTCACCTGAGGTCAGGAGTTCTAGACCTGCCTGGCCAACAAGGTGAAACTGTGTCTCTATTAAAATACAAAAATTAGGTGGGCATGGTGGTGTACGCCTGTAATCCCAGCTACTTGGGAGGCTGAGGCAGGAGAATCGACTGAACCCGGGAGGCAGAAGTTGCAGTGAGCCGAGATCGCGCCACTGCACTCCAGCCTGGGCAAGAGAACAAGACTCTGTCTCAGACAGAAAAAAAAAAAAAAAATTTGGAGAGCTTCAAAATATTATTAAAATAATTCAGGCCAGGTGAGGTGGGTCATACCTGTAGTGCTGGCTACTTGGCAGGCTAAGGGAGGGGTCACTTGAGCCCAGCAAGGCTGCAGTCGGCTATGACCATGCCACTGCACTCTAGCCTAGGTGACAGAGCGAGACCCCATCTCTAAAAAAATAATAATAATAAAATGAAGTGAAATAATCAGCTAGGTTTTAAAGTAATAATCTATTCTAATTACCCTTAATCTTTGGGAACTTTTCATTCTTCTATCCCTACATATACACAGTTTTTAAATTCACCTGAACCAGTTACATTCTATATTCTTCCCAGAAAGGTCTAAGCAGAATGCATTTTCACTGAAGTAAAATATTATACATTCTATGGAAAAAAAATTCACAACATGCATAAACTCTACTTTCATTTTAAAATGAACAGATCTGAGGTAATACCATTTCAAGTAAGAATTTAAAAGATTTTTGAAAACAAAAATGTTGCCTACTAAGAGAACTATGTACATAATATTAAAAAGTTAAGGGTTAATTAGCCTCTGGGTGGATTTTTTTAAAGCAATTGTTCATACCACCTTCTCCTTTCAAAACATGTATAGCTGAAAGAGAGGAGCAAGATGAAGGCATAAAGTGAAACCAGGCCAAGTGCTTCCTAAAGCTTCAGTCCCAGATATACCACAACATAATTTCAAGTGGGAAGTATGAAGTCAGCTTTTTACCTTCACTTTTAAAGTGATCATTTTTCAAGTTAACTTTGACAGTCTACTGAAGCCCCCTTCTCTTCTGAGACTCCAATGAATGAAAGTTTGCACCTTCTAGGACAGTGTACCATCCATGCAGAGATTAACATTCACTATGTTGCTTGAGGCCAAGGGTGGGGGCTCAAGCCTGTAATCCCAGCACTTCGGGAGGCTGCGCAGGTGGACAACCCAAGGTCAGGAGTTCGAGACCAGCCTCACCAACATGGTGAAACTCTGTCTCTACTGAAAAAAAAAAAAAACAAAAACAAACAAACAAAAAATTAGCCGGGCATGGCAGCATGCGCCTGTAATCCCAGCTACTCGGGAGGCCGAGGAAGGAGAATCGCTTGAACCCGGGAGGCAGAGGTTGCAGTGAGCCAAGATCATGGCCGAGATCATGCCACTGCACTCCAGCCTGGGCGACAGAGAAAGACGCCGTCTCAAAAAAGAAGAAGAAGGAAAAAAAAAAATTCACTCTGCTGCTCAAAACACAGGAAAAAACCCACCACCAAGATGACAATCCAATAAATCTGTAGGAAAGAAAACCGCATCCTTCAGCTGTCCGTGATGCACGCATGTACAAAACTAAACATTAAATATCTCCAACACTGGCAACCAGATAACAAACTTTACCCCTTTAGTTATGGTTGAATCCAATAGAGCTTAGGAACTTTCTCCTCAGAAATGTATTTACATAATGCCTATAAATACATATTGCTATTGAAATGTAAGCAAGCTAGGAGGTAGAAGATAAAATTAGATGTGTGGATGTCCGTACAGGCAATGAATGTGTATCCAGCATTCACAACGTGCACAGCACTTTAGGAGAAAAATGTTCAACCTCTGGAAGACAGTAAAACTTAACATGAACTGCGCATGGCTTCATCTTCCCTGAGCACTGGGAAAGCCCCTGGGAAATTGCAGGGCCTGCAGACCAGCTCTACCCACATCTGCCCTCTGGGGCTGAAGGTGCAGAGTAGGAAAAGACTTTCAGCTGACAAATATTCTGGGGAGGAAAAAAGACAGCTACTGCTGAACTATGCAAGTCTCCAATTTTAAATGAGACACAGTCCACTTCCCTAAGAAAAGTCTATCATCTCGTCTAGGTCTCTGTAGAAAAAAAAGAGAGAGGAGGAGAGGAGAAGAGACAAAATAAAGCAAAAGGAAGGAAAGAAATAAGTCTATCACCTAAAGCTGAAGCAACAAAATTCAACCTTCAATATACAGTTTCTCAGGGATCTAACAGGAAGGAACACAGCAGGTGCACACCCGCTGACAGAGTGAGAGGGAAACAGGAGTTCTCACGACATACAGTCTACTGTGGCCTGGGCACCCAGATTTTGCAACAGAGAGTGCTTCCTTTCCAAGCACGAAAGACAACTAGAAAAAAACTAACTGCATACATGCATGAAAATACAGAATACTGTCAAAGGTCAAAAATCGTAACAGTCTGAAACACCTCTCTGCAAGTCACCTAAAAGCCAACCAACAAACATTTCAATACTTCCCATAAGCTCACTGTTCTTAACCGTATTTAACTCTGGAGAGTCACACTTCTAAAATTTAGGGAACATTTTTCCCGTAACAGAAAAACAGTTCCTTTGTGTATGCATTAAAGGAGGGGTGCGGGGAGGACACGACACCCAAGAGGCACCAGGTGTCCGTAGTGTAGACTCGAGCGGGAGGCTGTTCATGGGGAGCAAGCTCGCCTAAGCGCCCGAGCCTCGGCTTTCTCATCCGTAAAATGGTTTGAGTGCGCGGCGGGGAAGTGTGTAGGAGCGAAAGCAGTCCCGGCGGCTCTGCCTGACGCTTCACCCCGCAACAAACTGTTCCTACTTCGCCAACGCCTGCAACTCTGCGAGCCCCCAAGGACTTCCCCGTAGTCGGGGAAAGGGCGCCCGCGGGCAAAACCGCCCGGCGGAAGAGGCCGGGGCCCCCAGGTCCCGGGCGCGCGGCTCAACGGGGGCGGGACGGGGCGGTGGCAGCCCCCGCTCCTCGCCCTCGACGCCGGCGCGCGCCCAGTCCCGGGCAGAGTCCGCCGGGTTCCACCGGCTCCAACTGCAGCCGGCCCGAGGGCGCCCCCCAGGGGTCAGAGGTCGCCCGGCGGGAAGGTCAGAGGGCGTCCCCGAAAAGTCAGAGGGCCCCGCCTCAGCCGCAGCCCTGGTCACACCTCCAGGAAGCGGCCCAGCCCGGAGCGCGCCGGGGGCTGAAGGTCTGGGGGCGCCGGGTGCATAACGCCAGGGCCCGGGCCCGCCCAACGACCGCCGCGCCCTCCCCGCCTCCGGGCACTCACAGGTGACGATGGGCTTGTTCTCCATGGTGTAGATCACCGGCGGCAGCGGCTCCTCAGAGGCGTCCATGGGCGTCCGGCGTCACCGGCCCGGCCCCCCGCGCCCCATGGGCAGCCCCGAGGCCGCGCCGGGCCCAGCCGGAGCCCGAGCCTGAGCGGCGCCGCCCGCCCGGCCGCGCCAGGCAGCTCCGGAGCCGGTTGCGCCGCAGCTGCCGCCCGCTGCTGCCGGCCTCAGCCACTTCCGGCCTCGGCGCCGCCGCATGACCATTTCCGGGGCGCGCGAGGCTTCACGGGGCGGGTCTTCGCCGCGCTTCGCCTCCGACGGAAGTGCGCCCGGGCCGGCCGCGCGGGACCGGGAGGTGGGAAGTGGGAGGCGGAGCGGGGCTCCCGGGACACGTCCATCTTCCTCCCTCGGCAGTGGGCGCCCCGCTGGGCCCTGCGCCGGAGCTGAGGCCAGGACTCGGCAGGCGGGCCTCGCGCGCGGTGAGCGAGCCTGGACGCTCCCGGACCAGAGACGCCGGCCTCGCTGCCCTCGCGTTCCCCGCAGCTCGGGCGTCCCGCGGCGGGCCGCTGCTCCCCGGCCGGGCTCCTTATCGCGCTGGGGGCTCCCGCAGGCCCTCGCCGCTGAGTGTCCCCGGCGCGTGCCTTCCGCCTACCGCTGGGCTCTTCCCGTTTCCCTCACGCCGCAAATGTTTTTGTGGGGACCTGGCCCTCGGCATTTCGGAATGCCACAAAATAAACCTCACACTTAACTGCATATGGGCTTCTTGTGCACGTAAACGGGGGGGGCGGGGCGCGGGTGTTTCTTTTTCTTTTTTTCTTTGGAGCAGGGTCTTCCTCAGTTGGCTCAGGCTGGAGTGCAGTGGCGGGACACGGCTCACTGCAGCCTCCACCTTCCAGGCTCAAGCGATCCTCCCGCCTTGTTTCCCCCCGCCCCACCCCCTCCGCCAGTAACTGGGACCACGGGGGCAGCCACCACGCCCAGCTAATTTTTTTCTTTTCTTTTCTTTTGTCGGGATCTCACTATGTTTTCCAGGCTGGTTTCAAACTCCTGGGCTCAAGTGATCCTCCAGCCTTGGCCTCCCAAAGTGTTGAGATTACAGGTGTGAGCCATCACTCCCAGCCATAAAATGACAAAAACTGTCAACCAAAAATAATCAAAAGGGTCAGAATCTAGAGTTTAGTCAAATGCGAAGCTTGAGGCGCCCAGGAAACATTATAAAGAATGGAAGTCAGTGTTCTCAAACGTAGAAATTTGGGGTCGTTTCTATAGCCAGCGTCTCGGGAAGCCTAACCGAATTTCAGCGTCTTTTCTGTATAAGGCCTAATGCATAGTTACAACAGTCTGTTTAGTCGAGGTGGTCTTTTTCTTTGGGGACCCACTGAAGATGAAACAGTCCTGGGGTCTCTGTGCTGTCTGGTCTAAGTCAGGTACAGGACAATGGAGACAGCTAATCTGTAACAAAAATCACCAAATGGGAAGGGGGAGACCTGGTCTTTCTTAGTCATTAACAGCAGCAGTCCCCAACCTTTTTGGCACCAGGGACCAGTTTCATAGAATGCAGTTTTTCCACAGACAAAGTTGGGGTGGTTTCAGGACGATTCAAACACATTTCATTTATTGTGCACTTTATTATTTTTATGTTGTAATATGTAATAAAATACAACTTCCCATAATGTGGAATCAGTGGGAGCCCTGAGCTTGTTTTCCTGCAACTGGACGGTCACATCTAGGGATGATGGAAGCCAGGGACACATCATTAGGGATGAGATTCTCATAAGGAGCACGCAACCTAGACCCCTCCAATGTGCAGTTCACAACAGGGTTCACCCTCCTAGGAGAATCCAGCGCTGCTGCTGACCTGACAGGAGGCGGAGCTCAGGCGGTAATGCCAGCGATGGGGAGCAGCTGTAAATACAGATGAAGCTTTGCTCCCTGGCCTGAAGCTCACCTCCTGCTGTGTGGCCTGACCGGTATGTGTCTGTGGCCCTGGCGGTCGGGGAGCCCTGATTTACAGAGCAGCCACAATGAGGAAGACACTTGTGCTCAAGAACAAGGAGGAAGAGCATTAAACTGTAATCGAAGAAGCAGAATTGCAAACTTGCTACTGACTCAGTCTCCAGGGCTTAACTTCACCCTTGGCATCATAAGTTTAGAGAGTCCTGAAGTTTTTTTTAACAAAATGTATATATGAGATAGTTTGGGTGTGAACACAGCTGCTAAATGTGTGAACATAGTGTAGTGTGGTGCACTGTAATGGTGTGAGAGGCAAGAGACCAGACTTCTGGGCAGCTAAAGCAGCAGGCCGGCAAGGCAGGGCACTGGAGGGGAAGAAGCTTAGCAAGAGTGGGGAGCCGAAGTCGATGTAGGGTTCCCTGAAAGTCCTTGGCCTAGGCTGGACTACACGTGTGGGACGACTCTATGGGTTTACCAGGAAGCGGCTGTTACAGAGTTGAGGATGGCACAAAGACTAGAGGTCCAGTAGTGCTACAGGAAAGGACTTTCCGTTTTGTTTTCTTTTCAGACAGTCTTGTTCTGTCACCTAGGCTGGGGTGCAGTGGTTTGATCGTTATCTCAGTGCAGCCTAGAACTTCTGGGCTCAAGTGATCCTCCCACCTCAGCCTCCCAAGTAGTTGGGACCACAGGTGAGTGCCACCACGCCCGGCTAATTTTTTCTTTTTTTGTAGAGAGAGGGTCCCACTCTGTTGCCCAGGCTGGTCTTGAACTCCTGGCCTCAAGCAGTCCTCCTGCCTAATCCTCCCAAAGTGCTGGGATGACGAGTACGAGCCACCGTGCCCAGTCAAGACCTTTTTAATGCCATTAACACTGAGGACATTGAGCTGAGACACTAGATTGAGAATCACATTCCCAGGGGTCAGCAAACGACCTATAAAGGGCCCAGATAAGTATTTTAGGTTGTGTGGGCCACATGCAGTTTTTGTTTCATATTTTTGCTTGTTTTTTTTTTTTTTTTAAACAACTCTTTAAAAATATAAAAGCCATTCCTGGCTTTAAGTGCTGTACAAAAACAGGCCATCAACACATGTGGCTTGTGAGCCAGAGGTTGCCAGTCCCTCCCCTAGAATAAGGACTACTCCAGGCCCGCCTTAACAACGTCTAAAGCAAAACCCTGACCCGATCCACAAGACGGTCAGAGTTTGGAGGTTAAGTCCTGCCAAGTAAGAGGGGCCTGGGAGACACCTGGGACATTGCTCAGTAAACAGAGCCTAAAGCTAAGCCTACACAGCCCAGCATGGTACGTCCAGTAATGGAACTACAAACTAGAACGAAAGTCAGGATTTTTCAGTGGAAGAGCACCCTGAGTCTCCCTCATTTGTTATTTATCAGTGTTGAATATACACTAAAAAAACAAAAATCACTAAACATACAAAGAAAGAGGAAAACGTAAGCCATAGTTAAGAAAAAAAAAAAGCAGTTAACAGAAACCAATCCCCCTACAATGAACCAGATTCTGTATTTACAAAGATTCTAAAGCAGCTCTACATATGTCCAAAGGAGGCTGGGCACGGTGGCTCACACCTGTAATCCCAGAAATTTGGGAGGCCGAGGTGGGCAGATCACTTGAGCCCAGGAGTTTGAGATCAGCCTGGCCAACATGGTGAAACCCCATCTCTACTAAAAACACAAAAATTAGCTGGGTGTGGTGGCGCACGCCTGTAGCCCCAGCTACTCGGAAAGCTGAAGCAGGAGAATCGCTTGAATCCGGGAGGTGGAGGTTACAGTGAGCCAAGATAGTGCCACTGCACTCCAGCCTGGGTGACAGAGCAAGACTCCATCTCAAAATAAATAAAAATAATATGTCCAAAGGATTAAATGAAAATATTGTCTTAATGAGTAAAGAATCAGAAATTCACAGCAGAATAACAAAGTATCTAAAAGAATCAAAAGAAAAGTCTAGAACTGAAAAGTACAATAACAGAAATGAAAATTTCACTGAATTGGATTAACAGATTGGAGAAAACAGGAGTTTGGGATCTTGAAGGCAGATGGATAGAAATTATTTAATCTGAAGAAGAGAAAAAAGTTGAAGAAAAGTGGAGAGAACCTCAGAGACCTATGGGACAGTATGAAATGGCCAAAAGCATGTGTGATCGGAGCTCCAGAAGGAGAGTATGAGTCTAGGAAGGAAACATTTTTGCAAAATGATGGCTCCAAATCCAAACACGTGGTGAAAAATACTGATTTACAGATCAAGAAATTCAGCAAAACCTGAAGAGAACACATACAAAGAAAATTACATGCAGGCATATCATACTCAAACTGGTGAAATAGATCAAGAGAAAAAAAATGTTTTGGTGGGGGGACAGGGTCTTGCTCTGTCGCCCAGGCTGGCGTGCAGGGGCACAGTCACGGCTCACTGTAGCCTCAGTCTTCTGGCTTCAAGCCATCCTCCCACTACAGCCTCCCAAGTAGCTGGGACCACAGGCACGTACCACCATGCCAGCTAATTTTTTAATTTTTTGTAGAGACGGCAGGGGGTCTTCCCCAGGCTGGCCTTGAACTCCTGACCTTAGGTGATCTGCCCACCTTGGCCTCCCAAAGTGCTGGGTTACAGGCATAAGCCACTGCACCCGGCCCTTCTCATAATTTCTTTAAGAGACCACTGACTGTTTAAAACAAACAATAGCTTGTGATACTTCTACAGTGTGTGTAGAAGTAAAAGGTAAGGACAGTGTGAAGGATGGATGGTGAGAGGTAACCCACTGATAAGCTCCTCACACTGTGAAGTGTGGAACTCCAGGTGTGAGGTGCAAGATGCAAAGGGTTATGTATGAAGAGGGAAGACTGAAGTGATACAATATTGACCCTACATTAAATTTGATATGTGAGGCATACGTAGTCTGTGCCCAGGAGAAAAA
Organism: Homo sapiens; assembly: GCF_000001405.40. Lineage (NCBI taxonomy): Eukaryota > Metazoa > Chordata > Mammalia > Primates > Hominidae > Homo > Homo sapiens. The sequence goes on along the minus strand of NC_000021.9, from coordinate 44,007,682 downwards.
GCACTAGGGAAAAAATGAACAAAAGGGGTTTGGCTAAGAAGCCAATAAAGAAAAGAGAAATAATAGAAAATATCTGACTAATCCAAAAGAAGTCAGGGAAAGAACAACAGGAGAAAGACAGAAAGGACCAGTTATGTCAGGAAAAGACACTCAGCGCTCATTAGACATCAGGGAAATGCAAGTTAAAATGAAAATGAGATGCCACTTCACATGTACTCAAATCGATAAAATTTAAATTTATAATTAAAAACCCTGACGAGGCCAGGCACGGTGGCTCATGCCTGTAATCCCAGTGCTTTGGGAGGCTGAGGTGGGCCTCAGGAGTCAGGAGTCCGAGACCAGCCTGGCCAACATGGTAAAACCCCGTCTCTACTAAAAATACAAAAAATTAGCCAGGCGTGGTGGCGTGCACCTGTAATCCCAGCTACTTGGGAGGCTGAAGCAGGAGAATCGCTTGAACCCGGGAGGCGGAGGTTGCAGTGAGCCGAGATTGCACCACTGCGCTCCAGCCTGGGGAACAGAGCTAGACTCTGTCTCAAAAAACAAAAAATAAGTAAATAAAAAATAAAAACCCGACAATACCAAGTGTAGACTCCAAGCCGAGGAATATCTATGTCTTTGTACTGTTCTCACAGAGAACTGAGTCCAGCTGCTCTGAGAAGACAGACACTAGCCATTCCCCTTCCCGAAGACGTGGACACAGCGTTGTGCGGCTGGATGGGCTCCCACGTTAGGGAGTGTTCTTTCTGGAGGAAGGGAGGCAAAGGCAGAATCCCCTCCTCCAATCCCACCGGCTCTGGTCCAGGCAGCCTTTGGTGCGTGGGCAGTAAGTGGACTGCAAGCCTATTTTCCCTCTGAGCAGACCTATAAGAGATTTTTTTTTTCCACTTGGGAATTTAGAAAATGCTTGAATTCAGCACAAACACTGGTTTGGCACTTTCTTTTAATGAATCATGGTGAAATGATGCTAGTCCTGTCAATCGATGTTCATTCTTTTTTTTTTTTTTTTAGTACCTTTTTTCATGAGGCAGCATTTGGGGTGTTTTTTATTTTGTTTTATTGTTTTTGAAAAGTTGCTGGAACTTGAACTCAAATGGTTTTTCCTGGTAACCCATTACATCGTCTCCAGGCTGCAAAGAGCCTGTTAAATTATGTATTGGGACATTGTGTCTGCCTTATCTAACCAGAGGGACTGCTCGGGCCCTCTGCACAGAGGGCAAAAGGAAGGGCCAGTCAGTGAATGTTCACAGCAAGCTGCCCAGAACCGGACACAATCCAGACATCCCTCAGCCTCTGAATCATCAAACAGTGTGGCCCATCCACACCCAGAATACTACTCAGCAGCAGAAAGGAACAAACCATCCCCACAAAGGCCTGGAGGAACTTCCAGAGAATAATGCTGAGTAAAAACCTTCCAGGTCAGGTGCGGGGGCTGTGCCTGGAATCCCAGCACTGTGGGAGGCTCAGGCAGGAGGATCGTTTGAACTCGGGAGTTCAAGAACAGCCTGAGCAACATAGGGAGACCCTCGTCCCTACAAAAAATACAAAACCTAGCTGGGCCTGGTGGCATGTGCCTGTAGTCCCAACTACTTGGGAGGCTGAGGTGGGAGGATTGTTTGAGCCAGGTCGGCCGAGGTTGCAGTGAGCTGTGATTGGGCCACTGCACTCCAGCCTGGGCAACAGAGAGAGACCTTGTCTCAGAAACAAAACACAAAGCCCCTTCAGCCCCAAAAGGTGACACGCCGTGCAGTTGCTTTTATCCAACATCTTGAAATAACAAAATTATAGAAATGGAGAACAGACAAGTGTTTGCCAGGGGCCACAGGGGTGTGGGGTAAGGAGGGAGGAGGGTGTGGCTAGAAGAGGGCAACAGAGTGGCTCCTGCGGAAACAGAATGTTCTGGATCTGGACTGTGTCCACGTCAATACCTGGCTGTGACACTGTGATCCAATGTTACGAAACGTCACCACTGGGGAAACTCAGGAAAGGTGCACAAGACCTCCCTGGATTACTTCTTATACCACACGTCAACCCATTGTCATCTCAAAATTGTTCTTTTTTGAGACGCCGTCTCACTCTGCTGTCCAGGCTGGAGTGCAGTAGCATGATCTCGGCTCACTGCAACCTCCGCCTCCTGGGTTCAAGCGATTCTCCTGCCTCACCCTCCTGAGTAGCTGGGATTACAGGCACCCACCACCATGCCCAGATAATTTTTTGTATTTTTAGTAGAGATGGGGTTTCACCATGTTGGCCAGGCTAGTCTTGAACTCCTGACCTCAGGTGATCTGCCCACCTCAGCCTCCCAAAGTGCAGAGATTACAGGCACGAGCCACCGCGCCCAGCCTCACATTTTTAATAGAAAGCCAGGTAACTTTAAAGTAATCACGTGAGTTTTCACACTGTGTGTGGCTTTCAGTGTTTCACCGCGCGCTTCCTCCTCTTGGGCTCACCAGGCGTTCTAGAAGCCGCTCCGGGTGCAGGGAAAGCCAGTCCTGAGTCCGGTGCAGTTTATGGTTTTTGGTTTTTTTTGAGACGGGATCTCACTGTTGCCCAGGCTGAACTATGGTGGTGTGATCTATGCTCACTGCAACCTCCGCTTCCTGGGTTCAAGAGATTCTCCTACCTCATCCTCCTGAGTAGCTGGGATTACAGGCACAGCCACCACACTCAGCTAATTTTTGTATTTTTTTGTAGAGATGGGGTCTCACCATGTTGCCCAGGCTGGTCTTGAACTCTGAGCTCAAGCAGTCCTCCCACCTCAGCCCAAAGTGCTGGAATGACAGGTGTGAGCCCAACCTTGGTGCAGATATTTTTTGATGCGCATTTTCATCCGTCCATTTAACCAATCCCTCCATAAATAATATCCCAGGTGAGCAAATAGTCCAAAAAAGGGAAGATACTGCCTCCTGGGGCTCGGTGGGAGATTCTCTAAGGTGTCACCTTTGTTTGTTTGTTTTTGAGATGGAGTCTCTGTCGCCCAGGCTGGAGTGCAGTGGCATGATCTCTGCTCACTGCAACCTCCGCCTCCCGGGTTCAAGTGATTCTCCTGCCTCAGCCTCCCAAGTAGTTGGGATTACAGGCATGCACCGCCACACCCAGCTAATTTTTGTATTTTCAGCAGATGGAGTCCCCATGTTGGCCAGGCTGATCTCGAACTCCTGGCCTGAAGTGATCTGCCTGCCTCGGCCTTTCAAAGTGCTGGGATTACAGGCGTGAGCCACTGCGCCTGGCCAGGTGTTGGTTTTTTAAAAAGCAGTTCCAACCTTTCGTCCTTTGAGCCAGCAATTCCACTTCTAGAGCTCTTTGAGGAAGCAAAATCTCTCCCAAACCTTTATGGGTAAAAACACATGTTGCAGCATTGCTTTGCGGGAGCAAACAACTGGAAACAACCTGCACGTCAACAACTGTTAGCTGGGACCAGAGGCGCAGCCTGTGTCACATGAACCATGCTTTGTCCATTTGATGAACTATTGTGTCACTGTCAAAATGGTGTTTAGAACAGGCTTGTGAATGTTTGTGGAATTACTTGTTGAGCACGATGTTTGCTACGTGGGTGACGGGTGCACTAGATGCCAGAGCTCACCAGTATACAATATATCCACATAACAGAGCTGCACTTGGACCCTCTCCATCTATAAACACTTTTTAGAGGGGCTTATGATAATCTGGGAAATACTTAAAACGTCAGTTTATAAAAATCTTGAAAGTGAAGGCCAGGCACGGTGGCTCACACCTGTAGTCCCAGCACTTTGGGAGTCCAAGGTGGGAGAATCACTTGAGCCCAGGAGTTTGAGACCAGCCTGGGCCACATAGCAAGACCCTGTCTCTACAAAAAATACAAAAATTAGCCGGGTGTGGTGGCTGCATCTGTGTTCCCAGCTACTCGGGAGGCTGAGGTGGGAGGATCCTGAGCCTGGGAGGTGGAGGCTGCAGTGAGCCTAGACTGCACTACTGAACTCCAGCCTGGGCAACAGAGCAAGACCCTGTCTCAAAAAAAGAAAAGTGATGTGATATAATAACAACTACATAAAAGCAAAAAACTCCACCCCACTATCATTACAAAAGAGATTGGAAGGAAATTCATCAAAACAGTATCAGTGACTATGATTGGGTCACAGACTCTGCAGTTTCTTCCCCCTTTTACCCACATATCTGCATTTTCCATCTTTTTTTTTTTTTTTTGAGACACAGTTGCTCTGTCACTCACTCTGGAGTGTGGTGGTACATTCATAGCTCACTGCAGCCTCCATCTCCTTGGTTCAAGTGATCCTCCCACCTTGGCCTCCCAAAGTGCTGGGATAACAGGCGCATGCCACCACACCCAGCCCACGCAGTCCATAGGGAGCTTCCCTGTTTGTAAAAAGTGGAGCCACACTGTGGTTAAGCAGCAGATCCTGGAGCAGGGCCACATGGATTCTCAATTACTCTTCATGTCTCCTGCATCTGTTGTCTCATCTGAAAACAGGGATTATGATAGAATTTCCCCCCTTTAAAACATGTATTCTATGCAGTCAACACACCTGGATTTATTTATTTTTTTATGTTATATATATATTTTTTTTTTTGAGACAGAGTCTGGCTCTGTTGCCCAGGCTGGAGTGCAGTGGTGCAATCTCAGCTCACTGCAACCTCCGCCTCCCAGGTTCAAGCAATTCCCCTGCCTCAGCCTCCCGAGGAGCTGGGATTACAGGCACACGCCATCACGCCCAGCTAATTTTTGTATTTTTAGTAGAGACGGGGTTTCACCATGTTGCCCGGGCTGATCTCGAACTCCTGATCTCAGGTGATCCACCTGCCTGGGCCTCCCAAAATGCTGAGATTATAGGCGTGAGCCACCGATGCCTGGCCTTGAATTATTTTAATGCCTACAAAAAGCCTGGGAGGAGGTATCCTAGCTCCATGTCGCAGAGGAGAGACAGACAGAGGCCCAGGGCTCGCCCCATGGCAGCTCAGAGATCAGGCCCACTGGGGCTTGGCCGCGCCCGGAACACAGTTGCCAGGACTGCAGCCATCACCCCATTTCGTACAAGAGGCAATGGCAGGTCCCCTGGCACAGCAAGGGTATGCCCGGCCTTTAGCCTGGCGCCTCTCCTCTTGCTGAGTCTCAATCTTGTGCATGGCACACTGTCAACTGCTGCTGTCACTGTGTGGTGTCTTCAGAAAGAACCTGCTCCCACCTGAGCTTGTGCAGAAACAATACGCTCTTCCCAGGTTTTAGGCTGTATAGTGTGATGTAAATAAGTAGCGCTGATGGAATCAAGCCTGGCGCTGTGGACGGCTGCTCCAAACACTATGCCCCATGCTATTTTTTTTTTTTTTTTTTTTTGAGACGGAGTCTCACTCTGTCGCCTAGGCTGGAGTGCAATGGCGCAATCTCGGCTCACTGCAAGCTCCACCTCTCCCGGGTTCACGCCATTCTCCTGCCTCAGCCTCCCGAGTAGCTGGGACTACAGGTGCCCGCCACCACGCCCGGCTAATTTTTTTTATTTTTATTTTTTTTAGTAGAGACGGGGTTTCACCGTGTTAGCCAGGATGGTCTCAATCTCCTGACCTCGTGATCTGCCCGCCTCAGCCTCCCAAAGTGCTGGGATTACAGGCGTGAGCCACCGTGCCTGGCCCGTGCTCCTATTTTGAACTCAGTTGGGTCTTTCTTGGCTTCCTGACAGTCTGGATTCTCGTGCTCCCTCTCCAAGCAGAGGTCACTCCCCAAGAGGCCTGTCTGTGCCTTGGCCTCATGTCCCCCGCTTGTGTCCCTGCGCGGTGGGGTTCGGGACTGGGGCAGGAGCAGCCACCCTGCTGGAGGCCCTCATCTGTGCCCCACCTTTTCCTTGCTGTTCTCAGGGACCAGGGAGCCGCCCACTGCCCAGATGGCAGAAGCCGGCTGTGGCCTGGCTCAGACATAGGAGCAGCACCAATGCCTTTCACGCCAACCCCTGGCACACCTAACAGCGGGTGATATAACATCCCCCTTGCACAGAAGAAGGTGGCAAGAGGGAAGAGCTGGTTGAGGGCTGAGCTGCCAGTAAGCCAACCTCCAAAACATCACTCGAATAGCCTGGAGGGTGGTGTCAGCTAGCCCAGTTTCTACATCTCTTCCTACGTAAATGGTACAATGCGAAAACTGTCCAGTCACGGTGGCCTGAGTGGTGACAAGAGAACAGTCCTCCCTGGTGCACTCAGACCCTAACAGACGCATTGGGTGCCCCAGGCCACATGCCTTCAGCTCACTCTGATTTCAGGTGCAGCTGGGTGGCACCAGACAGTTAGGGTCCCTCCTCTGAGACTAGTTGGGGGCCCCACTTTTCTGCCGCAGGCCTAGAACCTTCTCCATGGGCTCAGAAACAGGCTCAGCCAGGAAGCGTTGGAAAATGGACACCAGCAGGCCCTGTCTCCACGATGGCCGCCCTGGGGTAGGTGGGTGGTCATGCAAACCTCCCTCTGCTCAGAGGTACTTTGTTCACAGCCCTGGCCAGGTCGAACTATGATGGGAACTAGCTCAGTGACAGTCCCTGTCTTACCCCCATCCTCTACACCCCACCATCCCCACTCCCTTCCCCCTCTCTCTGGGCCCACCTCAAATAAACCACCTGTACCCCAGTCCATGCACACTCTGCCTCGAAGGCAGATGGCTCTGTGATGGACGCATCTCTCCTGCTCCCCTGTCGTCCAGCCCCCAGCCCTGAGAGGGGCCCGATGGCTGCCGGAATTCTAGGAGAGATGCACCCACGGCCTGGTACTGAAATCAAGAGTTCATCTCATTACCTAAACGTTACATGTTTAATACACTGGCTGGGAACTTGGCTGACTCAGAAAATTGCAAGTAATAAGTGTTCTGTTTTGAACATGAAGAGTACTTAATTGTTATTAATATAAAACCAGCTCCTCCCTGCATCCTTTAAATAAATGTGGAAACAAGTCTGAGGACGAGGGTCTGCAGGGGGCCTTGTGGCCTCAGCCCAGCTTTTTTGGGAACCAAAGGCCTCCTCCAGGCAGTCTTCCAACTGTCCCTGGCAGGATGGGCTGTGAGCTGCAGACCTAAGGCGGCTGACTGCTGTGGGGTGAGGCTGCGTGGTGTCCGTGGGAGGCTTGCCAAGGCCCATCTGTCCCGTCCTGGCCCAGGCTGGTGCAGGGACAGCAGTGGGTTTTCTGATCAAAGGGACTTGCTTTTTTCCACGTGGCTCTTGCCACTGCCTGGCCCCAAGGGAGGCTCCCCCTGGCCCAGCTCCCACCTCTGTCCCAGGCTTAGTCCCGGCCCCACTCCCCTCCTCCCTTTGCAGAGATCACTACAGAGGTTTGCACAGACACATTCAACCAGAGACAGTGGCGGGGGGCAATCCCCAGAATGCAGGGGAAAGGAAGAGGTGCTGACCTCCTGGCAACTTCAGCCAGAGCATCTTGGCCCTTTTCAGGCATGGGAGAAAGAGGCAGGTCTTTATTTAAGATGCATTCTCATGTCAGGAGAGGGAGAGGCCAACACCTGCTAGTGATAGGAGGGTTTTCCCTCTCTTAGTCCAACCCAGCATGAGCAGAAATAGTAAACCCTTCTGAGACACCAACAGCATCAGCAATAAGGTGGATGAGGGACACGTTCCTGACCCAGCAATGGGGGTGCGGCACCACATGGCAGTGGAACATTTCTAAACACTGACATACACTAAGCTGCCAAGGAAGCTTCCAGAGAGCCACCCAGCCAAGCATGTCCATTTTTTGAAAAGAAAGAATAAGGCCAGGTGCAGTGTTCACGCCTGTAGTCTCAGCACTTCGGGAGGCTGAGACAGGAGGATCATTTGGGGCCAGGAGTTTGAGACCAGCCTGGGCAACATAGAGAGACCCCCATGTCTACCAAAAAATAAGTTAGCCAGGTGTGGTGGTACACATCTGTAATCCCAGCCACTGGGGAGGCTGAGATGGGAGGATTGCTTGAGCCCAACAAGTTGAGGCTGCAGTGAGCAAAGGTTGACCACTGCACTTCAGCCTGGGCAACAGAATGAGACCCTGTCTCAGAAAAAAAAAAAAAAGGAATTACTGGAAACATACACTAATACAAATATGTATCTACAAGCAGGGGTAAGACTTACGATACTTGCTGGCCAATATAGCACAGGAATTGACCAATTGAAACAGACTGACAGCCACTCACAGTAGGTATCATGGGCACCGCACCAGCCAAGCTCCAGCCTGTGGAGGACACAGGCAGACAGGGCTGGGGAGACGGAGGCCTCTCCTTTGCACTGGGCTGGATAACTGCAATGTCTGAACGATGGGAGTGTATTCACTACTCCGAAAAAGGACAGTGTCTCCAATCAGTGGTGCCAGGAAACCTGGATATCCACATGCAGAATGAAATTGGACGCTTATCTCATACCATGTACAAAATTCAACTCAAAATGGATTAAAGACTTAACACAAAACCCGAACATGTGAAGCCACTAGAAGAAAACGTAGGGAAAGGCTCCATGACAATGATCTGGGCAATCATTTGTTTGGATATGACCCAGAAGCATAGGAAACAAAAGCAAAAATAGACAAATGGGATTACATCAAACTAAAAGGCTTCTGCACAGCGAAGGAAACAATCGACAGAGTGAGGAGAAAGCCTACAAAATAGGAGAAAGTATTTGCAAACCATGCATCCGATAAAGAGTTAATATCCAAAATATATAAGGGGCCGGGTGCAGTGGCTCACGCCTATAATCCCAGCACTTTGGGAGGCCGAGGCAGGCGGATCACCTGAGGTCAGGAGTTCAAGACCAGCCTGGCCAACATAGCGAAACCCTGTCTCTACCAAAAATACAAAAAAATTAGCCTGGCTTGGTGGCAGGCGCCTGTAGTCCCAGCTACTTGGGAGGCTAAGGCAGGAGAATCACTTGAACCCAGGAGGTGGAGATTGCAGTGAGTCGAGATGGCATTGCTGCTCTCCAGCCTGGGTGACACAGTGAGGCTCTGTCTCAAAAAAATATATATATATATATAATACATATATATTTATTTATATGGAACTAAAAGAACAACAAGAAACAACCCAATCTTAAAAATGGGCAAAAGGAATAGCCATTTCTCAAAAGAAGACATGCAGCTGACCAACAGGCATATAAAAAAACACTCATCACTAAGCATGACTAATTATTTGCATTGCAGGAAAATTCAAATTAAAACCACAGAGCATAATGTCATCAGGGTGGCTGACTAGAGACCCCTGGCACTTGTCCTCCACAAGAAAGGACCAAGACAATGAATAAATAGCTAAGATTTGACTGGAGTGTCAGAGGGAGAATGTGAAGCGCAGCAGGGAGAAAAGACACACCTTTGGTGATTGGAAGCCCTTCAAATTGGAGGGCAGTGTCGAGGCACCTGGCCCTGCAGCTCCATCTCCTCCACCTGGATTGAATCTGCTGGGAGTCAAGAGGGACACCCCCTTGCGGGGCAAAGGTAAGTAGAAGATCCTCATCAGCCCCCATTGCCACCACCAACACCTACAGTCCTTACGACAGGAGAATCCCACAGTCCTTGCAAGCCCTGAGCCCAGCTTGGAGAGCTGCCAGGAATTCACACAGCAGCACTGCCCTGGTCTAGGAGCACAAGGTGTGCACTTCCGATTATTTTCTGATATAGAAAATAATCAGAAAACATCAACAACATGATAGGAGTAAATCCTTACCTATCAGTAATAACCCTAAATGTAAATGGATTAAATTCCCCCATTTAAATGATATAGACTGGCTGAATGGATTTATTTATTTATTCACTCATTCAAGATAGGATCTCACTCTTTCACCCAGGCTGGAGTGCAATGGCATAATCATGGCTCACTGCACCCTCAACCTCCCAGGCCCAAGTGATGCTCCCTTATCAGCCTCACAACTAGCTGTGATCACAGGCATGCACCACCACACCTAGCTAATTTCTTAAATTATTTTGTAGAGATGGGGTCTCCCTATGTTGTCCAGGCTGGTCTTGAACTCCTGAGCTCAAGCAATCATCCCCCCTCAGCCCCCCAAAATGCTGGAATTACAGGCATGAACCACTGCACCCGGCATGAATGGATTTTTAAAAAGACCCAGCTATACGCTGCCTACAAGAAACTCACCTCATGTGTGAAGAAACATATAGGCTAAAAGTGAAGGGATGGAAAAAAATATTCCACAAAAATGGAAACCAAAAGTGAGCAGGAGTAACTGTACTTATATTAGACAAAACAGACTTCAAAAGCTATAAAAAGAGACAAAGACGCTGTATAATAATAAGGGGGTTAATTTGGCAAGGGAATATAACACTTAAAAATATATATGCACCCAACACCAGGGTACCCAGGTATATAAAGCAAATATTATTATTAATAGATCTAAAGGGAGAGATAGACCCCAATAGAATAATAGTTGGACTCTAAAACCCCTCTCTCAGCATTAAAAAGATCATCTAGATAGAAGATTAACAAAGAAACATTGGATTGAAACTACACCGTAGACCAAATGGACCTGACAGACCTTTACAGAACGTTTCACTCAACAGCTGAAAAATACATTCTTTTCATCAGCACATGGGAGATTCTCCAGGATTGACAATATGTTAAGACACAAAACATGTCTCTACAATGTTTTAAAAATCAAAATGATACCAGGTATCTTATCTGACCACAGTGCAACAAAACCAGAAAGCAATAACAAGAGGAACATTTGAAACTGTACAAATACATGGAAATTAAACAACATGCTCCTGAATGACCAGTGGATGAAGGAAGAGACTAAGAATGAAAATTTAAAATTCCATACTCACTTGGGCAGCACAGATACTGTTGCAGGCCGAAAGGAAGTCCCTCTGCGCCTTCCTTAGTGGCTGCTGCAGAAAGTGAGGGTGGTGATCAACTCAGTATACCACTGGAGGGTATGTGGGTAAACAGCAAACTGTTCTCAGAAAAGCAGAACGTTGGCAAACTGGTAAACTGACAAACTGCTTCTGCCGCCCAGAAGGAATACTGAGGCAGTCACGACCCAGGCACAAGTGTTTCTTGTGATTAGCTACAGGGCACATCTGAAGGCTGTTAGTAATAATATGCACCTGTGATCAATTAAGCAGCTGAGCAATCATTACCTCCTCCTCCCTGCTCATTCTACTCAACAAATAGGAAGGGCTGTGGAAGCTCAGGTGCTGTTCATGCTCACCGGAAGCTGCGAGTGCTCTTCTTCTTCCCCTGGCCCCTTCCTTTAAAATACTTACTTTTGTTTTAAGTTTTCATTTCTGCGTTGGTCCCCCTTTGTTCAGTCCTGTAGAAACCGTGGCAATATCCTAAAGTGGAAATGATAGAGAAGATTAGCATGACCCCTGCAAGGAAACGTGCAAATTCATGAAGTGATCCATATTTTTAACAATGAAAAAACTTTTAAAAATATTAAATTCCTTGAAACAAACAAAAATAGAAACACAATGTGCCAAAACTTCTGGGACACAGTAGACGCATTAAGAGGTAAGTTAATAACAATAAATGCATACATCAAAAAACTGGAAACCTTGCTGAGGGTAGTTAGTGGCTCACGCCTGTAATCCCAGCATTTTGGGAGGCCGAAGCGAGTGGATCACTTGAGGTCAGGAGGGAGCACTTGCTGGGTTTTGAGGATGGCACACGCGGATGGCACGCCCAGCTCACTGTCTCCACGCCTTAACTTGGGCTGGAGGCTGCTCCTTGCTGCCCAGGGGTCTCTACCCACGTGAATCCTGTGGCCTACGTGACAATCCGCTTTAATCCAGGCACTCACATTCCTTCCACCCATCAAAGTCAAGATCAAGTTCTGAGCTCAGCCGCAAAGCCCTGTGAATGAACGGCAGTTCCCCAAGCACCCAGCTGTCCGACACCAGGATCTGGAGCCACTGGGATGTGGCTCTCTGTGCTCCCGCCCTGGTTATTTCCACTTGACTCTGAACTAGCTGGACGGCTTGGGCATGGTCAGTGTCCTTGGTCTGGTCCCTGGCTTGGGCATGGTCAGTGTCCTTGGTCTGGTCCCCGGCTTGGGCATGGTCAGTGTCCTTGGTCTGGTCCCCGGCTTCCTCATCGGGTAGCATGTGGGCTGCTGTTGGGAGTTTCAAAGATCCCTCGCAATTTTGTACCAAGTCCTGGGACTCGGCAGTCAGAGAGCACCGTGTGGCTTTGTCTCTGTTCCTTTTTATTGTTATTGCTATTCTTATTTTAAGACAGGGTCTCACTCCATTGTGTGGGCTGGGGTACAGTGGCACATTTGTGGTTCATGCAGCCTTGAACTCCTGGGCTCAAGCGATCCTCTCACTTCATCCTCCCGAGTAGCTGGGACTACAGGTATGCACAACCATGCCAGGCTAATTTTTTTTTTTTTTTTTTTGAGACAGAGTTTCGCTCTTGTTGCCCAGGCTGGAGTGCAGTGGCACGATCTTGGCTCACCGCAACCCCTGCCTCCCGGGTTCAAGCGATTCTCCTGCCTCAGCCTCCCAATTAGCTGGGATTACAGGCATGTGCCACCATGCCTGGCCGATTTTGCATTTTTAATAGAGACAGGGTTTCTCCATGTTGGTCAGGCTGGTCTCGAACTCCTGACCTCAGGTGATCCACCTGCCTCAGCTTCCCAAAGTGCTGGGATTACAGGCATTAGGCACTGTGCCCAGCCAATTTTTTTATTTTTGTAGAGACAGGGTTTCACCATGTTGCCCAGGCTGGTCTTGAACTCCTGGCCTCAGGAGATCCTCCTGCCTCAGCGTCCGAAAGTGCTGGGATTACAGGTGTCAGCCACCATACCCAGTCCCTCTGCGCCTTCCTTAGTGGCTGCTGCAGAAAGGAAGGGACAAGCTCTCATCCAAGGTCTCCTCGTGAACCGCTGCCTGGGCCCCCACTGTCCGGGCCGCCACTGCAGGCTTCTGGCCCAGGTACCCTGGAGACCCCCAGGGCAGAGCTGTGGCTTCTCCCCACACCCCAGGTTGTGCTTATGGCCCAGTGAGTTGTCGGATGGGAGCCCGGCTCCTTTCCCTCAGCCTTCTGGGGAGCTTTTGGTTTGGGTTTTCATTTTCTGATGAGGAGGCTGAGAAATGACTTCTGAAGTCGGGATTTTCCCTCAGGTCTGACTCTGCAGCCTGTGGGTCCCACCTGCACCTGCGGGAGAGACGGAAGAGCCACCTCGGGGGCGGGTGTGGACAGGCCCACCCTGAAGAAGGAAAAGGCTTCGGACCAGAAGATGGAATGGGATCACTTCCTTCCCCGACTAAGGGCGAAGCCTCTGGCAGGCATCCCTTCCTGCTCCCTCCGTGTGCTGGTGGGCAGGGGAGACACCACGGTGAGGCTCTGTGGGCTGATAGGGGCTGGGCACACAGGACCAGAAACCGCTGGTCATCTCCCCACACCCGCCTTCCCACAGCCCCAGGGAACCCAGCTGTCTTGGAGGGGATGGGACGCCTGACTCTGCCAGCAGTGGCTGTTCTCTGAAGAAGGCGCGGCCTTTGAACTCAGACCAGTCTCCAGCGCAGGCTGGGGCTGGGAGGGGACGTGCTGGAGGAATGACCCAGGCAGCTCAAAGTGGGTTCCCTCTTTCCTCTCAGGAATTTCCTGGGGGGACCTGCAGGATGACCTATTTCTACATGATTATGCCCTGAGGACAGAGTCCCCTCATCCCAAGGACAAGGGAAGGGTTATTTCAGGGCAAGTTGCCCCAAATTCTAAGCAAAAACAGAGTTTAGGATAATAAAAGTGAGTTTCTGTCACTGAGGACAGGGAATGTGAAGAGCCACCCCCTACCCCATCCTGGGTTGTGCTCACCCGGGTGCAGCTCTGCCATCAGCAGACCTTAGAGGCACCAGGAATCCAAACTGGGGGGCCAGGAAGGCACGCGTCTCCTCCGTGCACGGGTCACTGCCAAGACTCCCGTGGAAACCGGCCTGGGAACACCTCAGGCTTTGTTCTCCGACCGGTCACTGCCCAGGCCTCTGCGGCCATCTGCTGACCTAGCGTCATTGTGGCCACTTCTGCTCCAGGAAGCATTCCTTCCTTGCTCCGAGGACACTGGAGATGTTCATGGCTGTCCTGGAGAAAGCGGCCAGTGGGGGCAAAGCAGGTACAGACCCCACACACTCGGAGGCAGGGTGTGGCAGGGCCCCTGGTGACACAGCAGGGACAATGAAGTCCAAAGGGGGCGGAATGCCCCAGAGAGATGGGCACCAGCATCGTCATACCTGTCCCCCCGACCCCCAGAGACCCCACGCCTCCCCACCAGATCTTTCACTGGCAAAGGAGGGGCTGCAGGCTGTCTCCATCCTTATTTTCTGGTTGGGAGCAGCAGAAAAGGGTTTGGGCAGGAGACATGGCATAGACCGTTCACAGCTGCCCTGCTGTCTTCGGCCATCCAGGCTGTGTCCTGCGATTGCACAAGCTCTGCCGTGAAGCCGCTGGAAGTGGCAGCCACCTTCCTGTTTGTTCTGAGGAGAGGGTACATCCGATGGCTTTGGACCAGCCTGAGGGGGGTCAGGTTTCTTTTTTTTTGAGACGGAGTCTCACTCTTTCGCCCAGGCCGGGGTGCAGTGGCGCTATCTCGGCTCACTGCAAGCTCCGCCTCCCGCATTCACACCATTCTCCTGCCTCAGCCTCCCAAGTAGCTGGGACTACAGGCGCCTGCCACCACGCCCGGCTAATTTTTTGTATTTTTAGTAGAGACGGGATTTCACCGTGTTAGCCAGGATGGTCTCAATCTCCTGACCTCGTGATCCACCCTCCTTGGCCTCCCAAAGTGCTGGGATTACAGGCATGAGCCACCGCGCCCGGCCGAGGGGGGTCAGGTTTCGTATAAAGTCCTGGGCAGGTGGAACTGACCATGTAATTACAGCTGTGTGAGTTGGAATTTCGGGGGCGGAAGTCCTGCATTTAAAAGCTGCTTGAGCCAGGCACGGTGACCACGCCTGTAATCCCAGCGCTTTGGAAGGCCGAGGTGGGTGGATCACCTGAGGGGTCAGGAGTTCGAGACCAGCCTGGCCAACATGGTGAAACCCCCGTCTCTACTAAAAAAAAAAATTACCCGGGCATGGTGGTGCGTGCCTGTAATCCTAGCTACTTGGGAGGCTGAGGCAGAAGAATCGCTTGAACCCAAGAGGCGGAGGTTGCAGTGAGCTGAGATCACGCCACTGCACTCCAGCCTGGGAGACAGAGCGAGATTCTGTCTCCAAAAAACAAACAAACAAACAACTGCTTGAGGGGAAAGTATGCTCTAGAATCCCTTCTGGTCCCGACGGGCGACTGAGAATCGCAGAGAAGCTGAAGGGAAGCCATGGGGACAGGTGTACAGCCCCTTCCCAGACACACTGCGGGCAAGGCCCACCCAGTTCTGCAGCCCCTTCCCGGACACACTGCGGGCAAGGCCCACCCAGCTCTGCAGGCACCCAGGACAGACATGCCGTGGGTCCTTCTAGGTCCTCTGACCTCTGGCATAGCTCAGGACTTCAAGTCCCTCCATGACAAGAGGCACATGGGAGCCGAACCCCATGCTCACGATGTCTGTCCCCTGGATGTCCTTAGATCTTGCAGGGGTTTTGCAAACAGGCTGGACATGCCTGTCTAGAGCCGACTCTCCCCTGCCCCATCTCCAATCCCGATTTCAGATCATTTAGCATTTGCTTGTCTCTAAGGTCCCCCCTTGCCACTGCGCACACTCCCTGGCTCCAAGCGCCCGAGGAGCTCCACCAGCCCTTGCTCTGCACTCCACAAGCCGAGCCTGGCCAAGGCCTGTGGGCGTCCCAGGCATCCCGGGTGCGGAATGTACGGCCTGCTGCGTGGGCAGAGGAGCACAGGCTGGCACAGCGCAGCTCATCTGCTTACACACCCTGCCCCGCGTGACAATCCTTCCTGAAGGCAGCTCAAGGTCTTCGTGGGCCCCAAACATGAAAACCAGCTCCTAGGGAGTCGGGCTGGGTCCCTCCCACCACACGCGGACTCTCCCCGGGAGAGCTGTGCAGCTGCCGTGTTCCCCGTCTCCCACCTCTCCGGCCGGGTCTGAACACCTTGGGCTTGCCCGCCTTTGCTCATCCGGCTTTTCCGGCAACACGGTCCCATCCCACTTCCCGGAGTCACGTGCGCTCCTGCGGGTCTAATGACCTCCCACTGGTCTGAGGAGCTGCAGCCAGAACCCTGGCTTTGGGTGTGTTGCTCTGGTGGACACAGTCCTGCTGAGGCCGGTCAGGAGCCCGCCCTCCTCGTGCGCCTTTACTGGGGGGGATGACGTCGGTCACCATGCCCCGTGCTATCAACTCTGCAGAAGAGCAGCAGTGTCACAGCGGTGTGGAGGGACACGGCGGGGCACACACCTCAGAGATGCTAAGGGATGAACCGCACTGCACTCGCAAAGGAGGCCCAGCCCAGCAAAAAGGGGTGATTTTCTTTTTTTGAGATAGAATTTCACTGTGTTGCCCAGGCTGGAGCGCAGTGGCACGATCATGGCTCACTGCAGCCTCAACCTCCTGGGCTCAAGTGATCCTCCCACCTCAGCCTCTCAAGTAGATGGGACTACAGGTGCACGCCACCACACCTGGTGGATTTTTTGTTTCTGAGACAGGATCTTGCTCTGTCACCCAGGCTGAAGTGCAGCGGCACAATCTTGGCTTACTGCAAACTCCGCCCCCTGGGTTCAAGTAATCCTCCCATCTCGGTCTCCCAAGTAGCTGGGACCATAGGTGTGCACCATTATGCCCAGCTATTTTTTATATATATATATATATATATATATATATATATATATATATACATACATACACACACACACACACACATATATGTATATATGTGTATATATGTGTATATATGTATATATGTGTGTATATATGTATATATGTATATGTATATATGTATATATATGTATGTATATATATATGTAATTTATTTATTTTTGAGATGGTGTATCATTCTGAGGCCCAGGCCGGAGTGCAGTAGTGCAATCTCAGCTCACTGCAACCTCCACCTCCCAGGTTCAAGCGATTCTCCTGCCTCAGCCTCCCGAGTAGCTGGAATTACAGGCTCCCACCACCATGCCTGGCGAATTTTTGTATTTTCAGTAGAGATGGGGTTTCACCATGTTGGCCAGGCTGGTCTCAAATTCGTGACCTCAGGTGATTTGTCCACCTCTGCTCCCAAAATGCTGGGATTACAGGCATGAGCCACCATGCCCAGCCATATATATATATTTTTAGTAGAGATGGGGTCTCACCATGTTGCCTGAGCTGGTCTCGAACTCCTGAGCTCAAGTGATCCTCCCATCTCGGCCTCCCAAAGTGCTGGGATTACAGGCATGAGCCACGGTGCCCAGCCAATTAAAAAAAAATTTTTGTTTTGTAGAGATGGGGTCTTGCTATGTTGCCCAGGCTGGTCTTGAAATCCTAGGCTCAAGTGATCCTCCCACCTCAGCCTCCCAAAGTGCTGGTATTACAGGCATGAGCCACAGTTTCTGGCCAATTAAAAAAAAAATTTTTTTTTTTTTTTTTAGAAATGGGGTCTTGCTATGTTGCCCAGACTGGTCTTGAACTCCTAGGCTCAAGTGATCCTCTGCCTTGGCCTCCCAAAGTGTGAGGCTTACAGGTGTGAACCACTGCACCCAGACCAAAAGGATTTAAGAAGTGACAGGAGGCCAGGCGCAGTGGCTCACGCCTGTAATCCCAGCACTTTGGGAGGCCGAGGTGGGTGGATCACGAGGTCAGGAGATTGAAACCATCCTGGCTAACATGGTGAAACCCCGTCTCTACTAAAAATACAAAAAATTAGCTGGGCATGGTGGCAGGCGCCTGTAGTCCCAGCTACTCGGGAGGCTGAGACAGGAGAATGGCTTGAACCCGGGAGGTGGAGCTTGCAGTGAGCCGAGATTGCGCCACTGTACTCCAGCCTGGGGGACAGAGCGAGACTCCGTCTCAAAAAAAAAAAAAAAAAAAAGAAAGAAGTGACAGGAAAAGATGAATGATGGGGAGGAGGAGACACTGGGGGCTCATGAAAGGTTCCAAGGGGAGAGGAAGCAAAGGCCACTACCACAGCCCCTCCCCTCCATGCTGGCACAGGCAGGGCCCAGGACAGATGCAGGTTTGGGATGCCCCCGGGTCTGCCGGGACAGTAGCCACTTGCTGAGCACCTGTCACGGCCTAAGCCCAGGAGGTACGCTGATCGTCCTGATGACCATCCCCACCTTACAGGCTAGAACACGGAAGGGCATGGAGGCTAAGAACCTTCTTGGCCTGGGCCACACAGGTCCTAAGGAGTGAGTTTTGGGTTTTCATCTAGAGGCCTCCAGACCCCCAAATCCAAGCCTCCCCCGTAACACACTGTCCCACGGAAACACACTTGTGCTCCCCATCTGTGATCGATGGAATGGGCCAATTCAGACAGTAGAGGCACGCTGGGATCTGGCTGGGTTCAAGCAGAGGCTGCGCCAGCAGCTGTGAAGTGAGGTCACACATGTGACCTTGCTGGCATTTCCCATCCCTGGATCCTAAGACTTCGGAGCGGCTCCACCTGGCAAGTGCTATGAGGCTGGGACCGACTGCAGGGCAGCAGCCGAAGCCATGCGGAGCCCTCCGTGGCCTTGTCCTCTGGTGCCTGCCCCTGTGACTGGGCCTGTCCCTCCCCCAGGGGTTCAGCGGCAGGGCATGCACCTGCTGGTGTACGTGCACGTGTGTGTCTGTGTGTGCATGTGTGTGCACGTGCACCCTCACAGGCCCCCTGGCCACACGTGGGACGATCAAGGCTCACGTCCAGGGTACCTGCGGTTGGACTTGTTCCTGCCCAGCCCAGGTGCAGGCCGCCTGCAGTGGAAGAGCTCACATCCAACAGCAAAGCAAAGCTCAGGCCACGTTGCTAGCTTGCTAAGACGTCACGGGACTGTTTGGTTTCTTCATCAAGTTCCTTAGCCCTGGGGGGCCACTTTCTTCAAGAAGGGCTTTTATCTCCATGAACCCTGCTGCTGTGTGAGCCACCTGGACAATTCCGGGTTCTCAGGCACTATGCTCAGAAGAGACGTGAAGAAGGCCAGCTGTGGTGGCTCACGCCTGTATTCCAAGCACTTGGGGAGGCCGAGGCAGGTGGATCACCTGAGGTCAGGAGTTCGAGACCAGCCTGACCAACATGGAGAAACCCTGTCTCTACCAAAAATACATAATTAGCTGGGCATGGTGGCAGGTGCCTGTAATCCCAGCTACTTGGGAGGCTGAAGCAGGAGAATCGCTTGAACCCGGGAAGCAGAGGTTGCGGTGATCCAAGATCACACCATTGTACTCCACAGCCTGGGTGACAGAGCGAAACTCCGTCTCAAAAACAAACAAACAAACAAGAAGAGACATGAAGAGGATGGTTTCCCAAGCCCACTTCCTAACGCTGCCCCTTATTCTTCAGGTGTGCCCGTGTGTGTGCTGGGACGTGTGTACATGTGTGCATGCGTATGGCTATGAAGGTCCCCACACACATGGTGTGTGCATGCATGCACATGTGTACACACTCACATGTCCCAGAATGTCAGGTGGCAGGGACTGACTCCTACGTACTGAGCTTCTGGGTGAAGCGGAGGTGGGATCTGGGCCAATAAAGGCAGGCAATGGGCCTCATGGTTAACCTTGGCCCCTCTCCTGGGTGAGCCAGATGCCTGTGATGCTGGGGGTGATGAAGTCCGAAGGGGTCTGCATGGCTGCCCCCCAGTGCCCGTGAGCACTTGTGTTCAAACAGGCGAAGTGGGGTTCAGGCAAGTCAGTCCCTCTTGTTAGAGGGCAAGGCCTGACCCACCCATGACATCCCCATACCAAGTGGCACCAGGCACTTCACTTTCATCTCCCGAGAAAACAACAGAACATCATGCAAAATTCTGGGTGCTCTGACTTCAGGATATATTTTAAAAAATAAATGGCATCTGGACGCAGGACTTTGAGCCAGGCCTTCCCAGCTTCTCAGGAGCTGGGCTAAGCACCAGCATGGACCTGTCACCCTCACTGATGCCATTAGGGAAGGAGGCAGCCCCGGAGCAGAGAGCATGTCACCAAGGTTGCCAGGGCCATTCCCAGGAGCATGTGGACACCCAGACTCTTCAGCTTAGCTTATTTTTAGAAGACACGAAACGAGAACTCGGAATATCTTTTGGTTCTAACAAGAGTTTTTGTTTTGCTTTTTAATAAAGAAGAGAAAGGGGTTCCTTGGTTTTCTCCACAGATGAATGTTTTTACAAAAAAAGAGTAGTTTTGGATGTATACATGCCACTTAGGAAAACCTTTTGTCCTTGATCGCTTTTAAAACCCTTTTTTGGACATCATCAGGTCATTTTGCGTAT
The DNA here is from genome assembly GCF_000001405.40 of Homo sapiens. Classification (NCBI taxonomy): domain Eukaryota; kingdom Metazoa; phylum Chordata; class Mammalia; order Primates; family Hominidae; genus Homo; species Homo sapiens. The sequence continues at coordinate 43,987,400 of NC_000021.9, read as the reverse complement.
TTTTGTGGACTGGCTGATTTCCCCTGTGTTTTTGCCAGGTGACCGCTCTCCTTTTCAATTTCCCCTCCCAGAAAGCAACTCGTAGGGAAGGGAGGGCCTTGAAAAGTGCCATCGGCAGGATGGCCTCCAAGGAAACAGAGCCCGTGGGAGTGGGCTCTGAAGGTGGGTGGCCCCATGGGACAGGAGTGCCTGGTGGCCCTGGTTTCCCCTTGGAGACATCTATGCAGACTGGAAACGAAGAAACAGAAGGAGGCACGGAGTCGCTTTCTCTTATATTGTGGATATTTTATCCCTGTCTTTCACAGCAGCAATTTTAATAAACAGATGCCTGCAGCATTTCACCACTACACAAGAGCTACTCGCGCTCGGGCAGGCGCACACCTGCCTGTGTACACAGGTCCTCGCACAGCACGGCAAACGCAGCCAGGCCTTTGGGACACAGGCCTCTGAAGTGTAAGTTAGCAGCCCTCACCCCGACAAGCTTCTAAAGACCAAAAATACCTCTATCCTCCACTACATAAAGCTTGTGAGTAGCAAAACTTGTAAAAATGAAGTGTACAAAAGGAAACATCCGTATAATACATTTGCACCCTGTATACAATGGGTCCCTTTGAAACTGGCCAACAGTCAGCGATGGCAGATTTTCAATCATAGAAAAAGAAGCCAGTGGCTGTCATGCGCACTCAGGTCAATGGTTTGTGTGGGTTCTCCAGAGAGAGAGATTTTCCTTTACAGTTACAGTACTTGCTGGCGATCTTGCTGATTAAAAGGCCAGTTGAATTTCCTGGCATTTAGGCAAGTAACATTTGATTGTCACAACGTACAATTCTGAGACAATAAATACAAGTAGATCAGATGCATTTCTTCATTGTATCAAGTAACTCCAGTTTAATGTAATACAATTTAGTGCATTTCAGTATCTCATTCACAGTTCGACTTCTGTCCAAATACTTGTGCAACAAAAAGTTAAGAAATGGAGACGAACTCCAGGTGACATTGTCATTACACAGCTTCAAATTCTAAGACAACTCAATGATCTTTGAAAAGCGTACGCTGCTGTTGCCTGGGCCGGCGACACCAATGTCCCTGGTAACTTCCTGGGCTCCCTAAAAGTGTTCCCGTCATTCTATTTCCCGAGCAGTTTGTAAGAATGCCACCATTATCCCTGAATTAACAAGCAGCCAGTGGCGAGTGTTCATGATAAAACTGAATTCATGTGTCCACCCCACTCCAGCAGATCAGTGTGACATCTTTTACGCAAAAATTGTTTTTGCATCCTGGCCCCGATAGGCAGGAATACGGAGCCGGATGTCTGCATCCCCCAGGTCGGCCCCACGGCAGGGGTATGGGGCAGAGCCAGGGCGGAGTCAGGGGTGTGGCCGGCCCCATCCCCCGAGGCCCGAGGGGGCTTGCCTTTGGTTTGGGGACTAGCTCAGTAGAGAAAGGGGCAGGCACACGGCCGGGGACGTGCTGTTTCCAGAAAGAAGGCAGGCAGGCTTTTCGGGCTGGCCGTTTGAACCCTGAGCCTAGGTGCAGTGCAAGGGCTAGAAGCACATCGCGCCGTGGAGCACTAGTATTGCACGCCAGGGGCTGCATGCAGTGAGCCACAGGCCAGAGGCCTGCAGCGGGAGTCTACGCATGGGGCTGAACAAGTCAGGTGAAAATCTGCAGGGCTGGAGAGATTATACTTGGCTTGTTGTAGAAGTGTCTCAGGTAGAGACAAAGCATGCAGAAACTTACTCATTCTTCACCCCAAATCTGACCCCAACCGGTAGTCACAACAGGCATGGACAGCCTGGCAACAGCTACTCAATTGCACGTGAGTGAAACACACAGCTGGGTCCAACCACGGCTTTTCCTTCAAATCAACATCAATGCTCAGCAATACCGCAACGAACAGCGTGAGGAAAGATTCTCATGCCACGGTGCGCGAAAGGGAGTCGGGACAGGCAAGGCAGAGAGACTCAAAATTCATCGACAGGACGTGCTTTTTTTTTTTTTTTACACAAGAAAGTGCTGCTTACATTGTTGTTTTGTGTTATTTAGTGATTTGTTCAGCGCTCATCTCTTCCACCAGACTGCGCTTCCTGAGGACAGGGACCTTAAAGCACCTCACATAGGGTGCGCGTCTGGTACACTGTCGCCGAGTACCAGACAACCAGTGTCTCACACGGGGGAAGACGATGAAGACAGCAATGGCATCCTTGGGAAGATGGGCAGGAGACCCCATGACACCTGGCACCTGGGCCTAAGCTGGGAGGCCAGCGGCGTCCCCAGGAGACCACGGCCCAGGCTGGGAGCTTGACCGGCCAGACGCCCGTGGGTGGGCCTGGGCCCTCCCGCCTGGGAGCCTCCAGTGTGGCGCCTGGCTCTGGGTGGGTAACAGGAGCTACAGGCCAGCAATGCCCTTCCTGTCCTCGGCCTGGCTCAAGGACTGGGTGCAGAGGGCATCAGCGATGCCAGGCCTAGAATGTGCCTCACCCCGACAGTGGCCAGCACGGACTGTGGGCTACAGAGTTGCTTCAGCCTGAGCACTCAGCCTGAATTTGGACATAACATCAACTGAATTAAGCTCAGAAGTAGGGTGTAAAGGAAAAAGAAAAAAAAAAGACTGTTCTGGGATTTATGAATTTAATTTAAAAAATGTAAAGGAGCTCTCCTCCCCTTTTCCTTCTGGATGAAAAGCAAAATCCACCCTCCCCCCCCCAAAAAAAAAAAATTCAAACATTCATGGTGTAGTTTTTATTGCTCTTAAAGACTTGGTGTTGAGAAGCACAAGCTAAGCTGTGAGATGGGAAGGAAACCAGATGAGGTGTGACCCCTGCGCCTGGGCCTCCGTCTCCACTCTAACCTAGGGGCTGCCCAGCTCCGCCATGGCTCAGTGCAGAATTTATACATTATATATTAATTTCAAAGGGAGGGAACTTCTATGGGAAACAATAATAATTAAATCATAAAAGATCTAAATTTGCATTTTCCAGGTCACATATGTGCATGGTCGTACCCTTCAGCTTTTTTCCTTAAAGATTTTGCAGGTGTTAGTGAGTCAGTGAATGGCATGGATCTAAACACACATGGAGACGGATGAGCAGCGTGCGGCATGAGGAAGGTGCAGGAGAATCTCTGGGGTGCTCAGCCAGGGGAGCGCATGCCCTGCCCACGGCACAGCTGCCCGAGTGGGCGGGTGGAGGGATGAGATTTCAGATGGAGGGAAGCACATTTCCAAAACAACAGTGTCTGCAAGCGTGTCTCGCATGGTGTCGTTGGTCTCATCTGGTTTCGTTGGTCTGCCCCTTCACCCCTGCGAGGAGCCGTGCTCTGAGCAGGTGTGCACAGGTGGCGTCCCGCACACGCCCTGAGAGCACGGCCCCCACAGACCCGGGGCCCGGCAGCGCCTCCATCATGCAGAACGCTGCCGTCCCCTCCAATCTCCCCAGGACACTTAGGCCCGATGCCTAATTATGTTCTCGGTTTACTTTTCTTCATGCCTCTTTTCTCCATTTGTTTTCCCCTAGAAAACTCAACCTACCTCTATTCAGAACGCTGGTTTCAAGATATCAGAGATAACACCCATTTTGGTTTTTTTACCTTGCTAAAAAGATGAGGGCGCTGTGACTTAGAACAAGCAAGTCGAAAGCCAAATGCAGGTGGGCTGATGGTACCGCAACCAAGTTGAGCGTTCTACCACTGCCATTGCCCCAGGGGCCCCACCTGGCCATGCCGGGGGAGTGGACATGCTGTAGGGAGAAGCATCCCTCGCTCGGCGTGGGCCAGGGGCTCGCTGCAAGGCCAAGGGAGCCAGCATGACCGGCCGAGCGCTGCCCTCTGCTCTGCCTGGACTCTCAGAGACGTCCAGGAGGTAGGGAGCTGGGCGCTCAGGGGTGGCCGGGCCACAGTGACACCGGCCAGGATGGGGGCGGGCCTTCCCCAAGGACACAGTGCGAGGCTGGGGGGTGGGGGGTGCCCCACCTCTAGTTTCCAGCAGGAAGTTGAAAACCACCAAGAGATCAACCAGTAAAAATAAAATCTCTAGAAGTCAATGAGCTCAGTGTTAACAGTCTCCAACCACCTTTAAAAAACAGAGGGTTGACGGTGCCGTCGCTTCTTCTGAAGCATCCTAGAGTCCCACAGGCTGCCCTGTTCTCCCTCCTTGGCTCCTGATCTGTGGGATGGGGGGGCGCGCGGTAGCCCCGAGGGTCCTCCCTCCCCAGCACCCAGTGTGGAGGGACCAGGATCTGACAGCCATGAGAGCGACAAAGGAGCTTTAGGTGCATGGAGAACTCTGCATTTCACTGAGTTCTCAGGGGCCCATCCACTTTAAAAACAGATGTACGTATTTACACACAAGGTCAGATAGGAGCTAGGACAGACAGGGCTCTAGAAAGTGAGGTGGGGCGTTCGCCCTCAGCCAGCCCCAGGACAGGGCAGAGTGAGGGCTCCGACTTCGAGGAATGGACCTGACGTTCGTGCCGGTGTGCTTATCACTACGGGCGCCCTCCACGGGGCCCCCACTGGGAGCCAAGGTGCTGAGCCGAGCGATGCTCCCGGGGGACGGGACCCGGCCGTCCACTCCCAGGAGGACAGCAGAAATTCATTACGAGACAGTTTCGGGGGCGGGGGGTGCAGAAGAGGTGAGGGGCCAGGTTAAGTTCCCAAGATAACTGATTAAAAACCAAAAAATTTGATCTAAGTTTAAGGAGAGAAAGCAGCCAAAGGCTCCCTCTTGGAAGCGGAGTTCTGGAGAGACGGCGTCCGCGGGAGGCCTCTCCGGCCGGACCCACCTCCCACGGGCGCGCGTGGAGATGCTGGGACCCTGCGCTGTGGGAGGCTGAAGACTTCACCTGACAGGCCTTCTGAATTCTTTACTCTTGGCTCAAGTTTTGTTAATATTAGTCACCAGTTAATAAGAAAAATAGTTTCTAATTGTCTTTTCCTGCACTCTGTGTGTTGGTTTTGAGTTAACTGGATACCACCGTCAGGGCCGCGTGTGTTCAGTCACAGCCATTAATTATTCCTTTTTCTTAAACTCTTGGTTTCCGTAGCTGGAGCCTTTTTCTATCTCAGTTACTCCTATCAGTCTGCGAACTCCAAAGGAAGCTTTCAAGACAGGAGAGAGAGAGAAGAGGTGAGACGGATGACTTTGCCTTTTTGCTGTAAAACGTGTTACTGGGGCTTCCTTCCTCTGCCCCAGACCCTGTCCCTCTGCCCCGCACCCAGTGGCCTCTGCTGTCAGTGAGTAGGTGTGGCCCGCGGGGAGACAGCCCTCTCAGACCGTGGTCTGCTCAGGCAGGGGTGAGGGGCACGTCTTCTGACCGGCTGGGTCCGAGGCAGGTGGACACGTGGACCTTGCCCTGCCTGCCCCTCTGGGTCTTTGGCTGGTGGGAGCAGAAGGGCTTCGGGGCATTCTAACAGCTCGGCCTTGCAAACCCAACAGGTGACAGAGGTGGACGAGCAGGACCCTCGGATGTAAGCAGGTCACATCCTGTCCTCTGTGGGTGGCCTCAAGTCATCTCGTAGTCCAATGGGAGAGGCTGGTGGCAGTCACTGCCTCTCAGGACCCCTCCCACCAAGGCCCCTGGCAGGGGCGGCAGGAGCAGGGGAGGAGCTGGCCCAGCTGCTGGGCCTGGGGAGTCGGCTCACGGGGCGATGCACACGGACTGTGTCTCCACGGACAGAGACCCCTCAATTACGGGGTGTGGGTGGGCGCCGGAGCTCACCACAGGGACAGGCTGGGTGTCTGTTCGGCCCCAGGCTAGCTGATGAGTCGTGGTGGGCCTGGCATTGTGCCTGGGGTGGGCACACAGTGGGGAAGTCACTGGGGGTCAATGGGGAGGAGCTGAATGATGATGTCCTGCTTAAACCTCCCGAATGGCCAGCCCAGCCTGACCCCTAAGAGCCCAAAAGCAGACAGGGGGGCTGGGGACCCTCTCGGGGACCCTCTCGTCGGCATCCTCAAGGGCGCCAGCCAGTGGGGCTGCAGTGGGGATGGCGCCAGGTGGCGGCCGTTCGGCTCTCTGGGGAGGCGACCCTCAGCTCAGTGCAAGAATCCAGGCTCTGAGGCCCGCAGGCCGTGGGGGGATCCTGGCTCCAGGGTCCATAACAGCCAGGCCCCTGCCTCCCACAGCCACTGTGATGAGTCACCAGGTCCCGGACCCTGTGGCTGATACTGTGAGGCCCGTCAGAGTGTGAGCTGTTAGCGACAGTGTCCATTACCTGCTCCCACAAACCCCAAGAAAGTCAGGATCAGGAGAGGTGATCCGCTGGCAAAGACGCCCAAGACAAAACTGAAGAGGGGAGACAGGAGAATGGTGGCCCAGGACAGGAAGTTCAGGAGGGTCCACGGCCTCCGGGCAGGCTTAAACTGCTCCCCTGGAAACATGCCCTTCTGATTATATATCTCCTGGAGCGCGTCCTAGAAGAGTCAACAGAGAAAAAGGAAGCGTGAGGCTTCTTTACAAGCTATTATTTCAATGCAGGAGAAGATTGTTGGCAATGAAAAACGACTCAACCTAAAAAAAGCGCCACGTCAATTAAGAGCACAAATCACAGAAGCTGCAGGTGCAGGCGAAGCTGGCTGTACGTTTTTGGAGAATCTGATAGCGTGCATCGAGAGCTCGCAAGCATATCAACCCTTTGACTGAGGAAGTCTCCCAGGAAAATAATCGGTCAAGAAAGCAACGTTGTGAATACCAACACCTGCCTGCCCAGCACTGCCCCGGCCACCCGCCACATCCCACACCTCCCACGAGCCAGAGGCAGTGGGGGTGGCAGGTGTGGCCTGTGTGAGTCCCGCGGCCTGGATGCAAATCCCTGCAAAGCGCACTCTCAGCTGCACGGCCCAAGGAAAGTTCCTTAACCTCGCATACCTCGGTTTCCTAGCCTGGCAAAGGAGGCTAATGAGGAGCTGGGAGGAGAGAGGAGCCTGGCCAGGGCCACCTGCAGAAGGTTCTGCCTCTGGTGGGAATGTCAAAGGCACAGGCTGGCAGGAAATCACCATGCCTGATAGAGCAGACACTCCGCAGCCACTGCCCGTGGGCGGGGCAGCCCGTGGGACTCTAGGATGCTTGGGAAGTAGTGAAGGGCACCATCAACTCTCTCGTTTTTTTTTGTTTTTTTTTTTTTTTTGAGATGGAGTCTCACTCTGTCGCCCAGGCTGGAGTGCAGTGGTACGATCTCGGCTCACTGCAACCTCTGTCTCCCGGGTTTAAGCGATTCTCCTGCCTCAGCCTCCTGAGTAGCTGGGATTACAGGTGCCCACTACTGCGCTAATTTTTGTATTTTTAGTGGAGACAGGGTTTCACCATGTTGGCCAGGCTTGTCTCGAACTCCTGATCTCGTGATCCACCCACTTCGGCCTCCCAAAGTGCTGGGATTACAGATGTGAGCCACCACACCTGGCCGACCCGCTCTCTTTTAAAGATGGTTGGAGACTGTTATCACTGAGCTCACTGGCTTCAAGATATTTTTTCTAGTTGATCTCTTTGATCTCTTCATGGTTCTCAGCTTCCTGCTGGAAACTGGGGTTGGGGTGCCCCCTGCCAGCCACACACTGTGTCCGTGCAAAGGCAGGTGTCATCGTGTCCTGGCCACCCCTGAGCACCCAGCTCCCTGCCTCCGGAATGTCCCCGAGTGTCCTGGCACACACATTTTGGCTGTGTGCTTCTTGAACTATGTTGTTTGTATAAATTCAAACTTCAAGCCTGTTGGAGGACAGGCCTGTAATTATGAATTCCCAGGAAGACTTTCTTGAGCCCAAGAGGAGAAAGGCAGGTTTCAAGGCCATTTCTCTGTGCTGGGAGGTAATTTTCTTTTCCAGTTTAACCTTCCTGAGGGTCCAATTCTTAGAGGGTCCCAGCATCATGTGGGGTTTTTGGTTCTAACGTCCCGCCTTGAATGAGGGGAAATCTTTATCTTCTGTTTCCATGTAGGCATCACAGCACGAGACTTCAGGGGATGGGGCAGGCAGAAAGCACCAGGTGGGCATGGTGCTGCTGGCTCCCAGGCCCAGGACCGAGTCTCAGCCCCACCTCCCTTTTCAGTCCTGGAGATTTCCCTTTTTTTTTTTCTTTCTTTTTTTTTCTTTCTTTTTTTTTTTTTTTTTTGAGTTGGAGTCTCACTCTGTTGCCCAGGCTGCAGTGCAATGGGGCGATCCTGGCTCCTGCAACCCCCACCTCCTGGGTTCAAGCGATTCTCCTGCCTCAGCCTCCCCAGTAACTGGGATTACAGGCATGCGCCACCAGGCCCAGCTAATTTTTTGTATTTTTAGTAGAGACGGGGTTTCACCCATGTTGGTCAGGCTGGTCTTGAACTCCTGACCTCAGGTGATCTGCCCACCTCGGCCTCCCAAAGTGCTGGGATTACAGGCATGAGCCACAGCACCCGACCGATTTCCCTTATTTTCTTGAGAGCCCATCAATGCATTTACGATGATATTTTTTACATCCTGGGAGGATTTCCTGGTTATCTCCTCTCCCACAAGGCCGACAGTGGAAATCGAATGCCCCATGCATTTGTGCGTATAAAACAAAGAGAAAGTAGTTCTTGGGCTGAGTAAGCCGTGGGGGAAAGAAATAAGAACTGAGTGTGGTTTTCAAAGCAATGCTCTAACATCCCTAATTTGTTTCTGTTATACAAGGAGTCTAGTGACCATCTATGTCTGTTACATACCTGTAATGTCTTTTAAGAAAATGAAACAAATGTGACCAAATGTTACCAGCCATAATTATACAGGCATCATGTTACCCTTCATACTTGTCTGTAGTTTGTTAATTTCTCAAACATTAAGAAGAAGGGACCAGGTGTGGTGGCTCATGCCTGTAATCCCAGCACTTTGGGAGGCCGAGGCCAGAAGATTGCTTGAGCCCAGGAGTTGAATACCAGCCTGGAAACATAGTGGGACCTCATTTCTACAAAGATACATTTTTTGAATCATTAGCTGAATATGGTGGCTTGCGCCTGTAGCTCCAGCCACCCGGGAGGCTGAGGCAGGAGGATCGCTTGAGCCCAGGAGGTCAAGGCAGCAGTGAGCCAGGATCGCACCACTGCACTCCAGCCTGGGTGACAAAGTGAGACCCTGTCTCAGAAAACAAAACAAAACAAAAACAAAAACAAAACAAAACAACAGAAAGAAGAAATGAAAGAAGGATCAGGAGTATTTAGGACCTGGGTGGCACTCCTGTCTCCCACGGAGTTCCCACGTGTCACCTGCCTGCTCGCCAGCACCCCTTCCACAGCCTCTTCAGGAGACCGGGACCCTGAGCGGGAGCAGAGCCTGCTTACCTTCTCCTGGTACAGTTTATGAAGCCACTGAGCTGCTTCCTTTTCATCCAGCGGGATGTCTTCCAGAGGAAATCTCCTGTTTTATGAAGAAGATTCAAGGTAGGGTGAATCACCACATGACCTCACACTAGAAAGAGGGCACAGGGGAACATGTCGTGTGCCAGGGTGGCCTATGGGCCCCACTCCTTCTGTCACATCTCACTCTCAATTTCTTTTCTTTTCTTTTTTTTTTTTTTGAGATGGAGTCTCGCTCTGTTGCCAGGCTGGAGAGCACTGGTGCGATCTCTGCTCACTGCAACCTCTGCCTCCCGGATTCAAGTGATTCTCCTGCCTCAGCCTCCCCAGCAGCTGGGACTACAGGCATGCGCCACCACGCCCAGCTAATTTTTTTTCTTTGTATTTTTTTTTAGTAGAGACGGGGTTTCACCATGTTGACCAGGATGGTCTCGATCTCTTGACCTCGTGATCCACCCGCCTCAGCCTCCCAAAGTGCTGGGATTACAGGCGTGAGCCACTGCGCCCAGCCTCTCACTCTCAATTTCTAAAAACAAACATTAAATGAGCTTCTCCTCAGGCATCCGCCCTGAGTACACAGTCAGCGTGGCATGGCGGCGAGAGGCCAGGATGTGGCCTTCTGTGCAGGGTGGCGGCAGCATTAACCCCCAGGGTGCCCACGAGTGATTTAACCGGGCAGGCCACGCCCCTGGTCCCATGAGAAGGGTGGTCATGTGTGCGCTCCCGAGAGTTCTGGTCTTTCTTAATATGTTCATTCTTCAGAGACAGTCATGACTGAGAGTGTCTTTCATTAGGCAAAGATTATTTCACAAATGAAATCCACTTGCTTCAAATATGAAAAGTATTAAAAATGTAGGCATTTTCATCTCCATTATGAAATAGCTGATTTCTGTCTGGACACTCATTTATTTACATACTAAATCTACCAAGATTAAGTGCTAATCTACCAAATGGATTAGCAGCCCACAAGTTGACACCTCTACTTGGTAAGATAAGCAGGGTAATTACAAATTACCTAATTGGACAAATCTAATCGGAAAATTTTAAATGAGTAACATGTTACAGCTCTTATTTTAAAAGTCAGTTGGAATTTGAGTAAGTACACAGGGTAAGCCGCTCACATATGATATATTAAAATCTTTTAAATACTTTTACAATTTAATAAGAACACCAAGTTTGCCAGCTAGGATGACGGTGGTGACTAAGGCAGCAGTGATACTGTGTGTACGGGAGCTGGGATTCAGGGGCTGCCACGTCCACAGCGCCCGTCACTGAGCCACACGGCAAGACGTCAGGTAGGCGTGACCTGTTTTCACTGGTGCCCAGTTCTCCCTTCCCTCTGGGCAGTTAAGAAAAACACATATCTGAACAAGTTGGCTACTATTCAAAACAGGCTATTCAGGCTATTAATTTATATAAACAGGTTGTTTATATAAATTAAGCAATAAAATTAAAAACACTGATATAAGAACAAAATTTGGCTCATGTGTCTGAAGAGTTTTCTTAGAACGTGAATGTACTCTTTCATTCAAAACAATTATGAAAGTTATACGAAATTCATAAAATCTTGCCTTACAGTCAAACTGATTAAAATTAAATTCATTTTCAGCCGGGCACAGTGGCTCATGCCTGTAATCCCAGCACTTCGGGAAGCCGAGGGGCAGGCAGACCACGAGGCCAGGAGTTCAAGACCAGCCTGACCAACATGGTGAAACCCCATCTCTACTAAGACTACAAAAATTAGCCAGATGTGGTGGAATGTGCCTGTAATCCCAGCTACTCGAGAGGCCAAGGCAGGCAGATCACGAGCTCAGGAGTTCGAGACCAGCCTGACCAACATGGTGAAACCCCATCTCTACTAAGACTACAAAAATTAGCCAGACATGGTGGAATGCGCCTGTAATCCCAGCTACTCGAGAGGCTGAGACAGGAGAATTGCTAGAACCAGAAGGCGGAGGTTGCAGTGAGATGAAATTGCACCACTGCACTCCAGCCTGGGTGACAGAGCGAGACTCCGTCTCAAAAAAAAAAAATAAAAATCATTTTCTATAAAATTTTATTGAAAATTAACTTCAACATTAACAAAAATAAAATGTGGTTTTCTCTTAAAAAAAAAAAAAAGGAAAAGAAAAACACACATCCCTGCCTCCCACAAGTCGCTTCCGTAAGGGAGCATCTTAACAGCGGGTGCTCAATGCTGCCTCTTCCCTGCGACGGCCGTCAGAGAATCACTTTGCTAAGGAAGGGCGGCCCCGTGCCACCAGGTGGGGACAGCTGGGCTGCCCCGAGCACTGTCTGGGCTCATCGTGGACCTTTATGAGGGAGAAGCAAATCGCTGCGTTGTAAGCCAAAAACAAAAACGAAAACAAACAAACAAAAAAAACCCAAAATTAAGATACACAGGTAGGAACCTGCTGTCCACGGGCAACCGCAGTGCTCCCAGCGCCCAGGAGGGGGCGACGACGCACCTCAGAGCAGGAAAGACCAGGCTTGAGCTGCGGGGCCCATGGGTGAGGTTTCCACAGCCAGGCAGGTCTCCACGCTCTAGGGTCACGCGCCTCACACTTCTGTCTAGGAACTGAGGAACCCAAAGCTTTGGTGTATGAGGATTCCACCTATGGATCCTCACCCCATCAGAAGTGAAAGCTGAGTCTCGTTGCAACACAAGCACACGCCAGCATGCGTCATACACCAGCACCCACCACACACCAGTGCACACACCGACACATGCCAGCACATGCCACACACATGCCAGCACACACCAGAACATACCACACGCCAGCACACGCCAGCACACTACATGCCAGCACACACCAAAACATACCACACGCCAGCACACACCAGAACACACCACACACCAGCACACACCAAAACATTACCACACACCAGCACACACCAGAACACACCACACGTTAGCACATGCCATACACCAGCACCCACCACACACCAGCACACCTCGACACATACCACATGCCAGCACACACTACACACCAGTGCACACACTGGCACATGCCAGCACATGCAACATGCCAGCACATACACATCACATGCGAGTGCACAACACACACATCAGCAAACGCCAGTACACAACAGCACACAGCACACACCAGCACACATGCAGTGTTCACAAGCCTCTGCCGCATGCTGGTGAGCAGATGGCTATGAAGACAACATCACGTCCCAGTAAATAAAAGCAGCTTCACATTGGCCCCAGGTTCAACTGGCATGGGGAGGATTTGCCACAGACGCCATGTGAGGAACAACCGAGGCGCAGAGGCTTCTTTGTCTACAGTGAGGGGAGGGGCCTGCCCAGAGGCCCACACTGGCTGGCTGTGGTCCCTGACACACACAGCCCCATGTCGTACACACCACACACATCAAACACATACAATTTATACACACCACACACACCAACCCTGATTCATATACACACACCACACACACATTTATAATTTATACACACCACACCACACATATCAAACACATAATTTATACACACACACCACACACACACCACCCTCACGATTTATATACACACACTACACACACACCACACACATATAATTTACACACACACCACATGACACACTATACCACACATACCCCACACACCAAACCCACCCATTTTGCACACACATGCACATTTATAATTTATACACACATACCACACACAGTTCAACACACACCACAAATATAATTTACACACACCATACCTCACACACCACACACACATCACACACACCATACACATATGTAATTTATACACACGCCACACTATACACACACCACATACATCACCCCACACGAATATATAATTTATACAAATTTTTACACACATACCACACACATATAATTTATACACACATATAATTTATACACACATAGATAATTTATATGCACACTATACTGCAAATACCACACCCATATACAACACACACATAATTTACACACAATGCACATACGTACACCACACATGCACACATCACATATACTACATACATAATACACACCACACATACACATCCCACATGAACACACACACACCCACACATGCCCCACATACAGGTTTTATCGTATGTCTGTTACATACATTATGAAACATATAAACATAAGAATTAAAAATAAGATAAAAAGTAAATATAAATAAAAATTCTATTTTTTTTCTGCACCCCAGGGTGTCACCCTGAGCATCTGCCTCCTGGAGCTGACTCAAGCCACTTGAAGGCCCTCGGCCCAGGGGCCAGCCCTGGGGACAGGAGAGCCCTGCAGCCGTCCTGCACACATTGGCCCTGCTTCCCCATGGCCCTGGGCATCGCCACCAAAGCAGGAGGAAAGAGGGCCAGCCCCATGCTGTGGGGAGCCTGGCGCTGTGATGGCTCGGCTGCAGGGGCGCGCGGGGACACTGCTGCTCCTCAAACAGCGAAGCGGTGAGTGACCTGAACAGCCGAAGCCTTACAAGTTCAAAGCGAGTATTTATTAAAATATGATCGGGCAAAATAAAGGCAGCGGCAGGGAGGATGGCGGATGAGGAGTCTCTCCGTGGGGGGCTGTGTGGCACCCGAGGCGGAGGCGCCGTGCAGCTTGGCGGGTGGCCGGGCTCCTCCATGGCCAGTGCTGACCTTGGACAGCTACTCTGACCACCCAGCCTCAAGCCACCACTAACCACCCAAGGATGAGAGCAAGACGTGCCTCAAGGGCTCCTCTCGTGAAGATGACTGAGGCCAGCTGTGGCCAGGATCTGGCACAGGGCCACCAGCTGCTATCATCCCCTCTCATGTCCTGTCCCAGCCTGCCATCTGGACCGTCCAGGGCCCCGGTCAGTCACCGCAGCCTCCATGGTCCACAGTGGCTCAGAGCTCCCTCCCAGGGGTTTTAGGCACATAAGGGAGAGAACTCTCAGCTCGTGGCCCCACTGACCCCGGGTCGGGAGAAGAACGCCTCCGCCTCTAATCAGCCAGTCCTTGAACTTCAGAAAGGAGTGTTACCTAGCTTATGTTTATGTTCACAAACCCTTCCTGGAAACCTCCTATAGTACGGCCAGAACTGGGTGGTGTCGTTTTGCTTCGTTTAATTTGTACATGCTCAGGCTCTCGAGATTAGAATGTAGAGGGCCTGTGGCCACCGTGGGCAGGCTCGGCTGATCAGGACGCACACTCAGTTGGTGGTGGTTGGATTGCAAATATGGAAACACATATAGTGACCGCTCTGTGCAGCTTTACATGTGGCAAGGAGGGCCCTGCCTTTCCGCACACACTTGAATGAAACCAGAGACTGACAAGCTCAACAAGGGCCATCCAGCGCACGGTTTCTTCGTGCCTCAAAGGCCTGCCTGAAATGATGATTTGTGCTGGAATCAAGGTCACAACCCCAGCCTGTGTTTTAAGTCAACAGGATTTCTGGGTGGATTTTCTCCTCTATGTGAGCCAGAGAAGCTTGGAGAGTCCAAGGGCAGCAACGGATTGGTGGCGGCACCCACAGCCCTGACTGTGTGGGGAAAGAGACACACTGCCCCAAGGAAAGCCGCTGGTACCCTGCAGAGCAAGCCCCAGGCTCCTCCTGGGGTCTAGACACGCCACTCCCATTTTATTTCATTGGGACAGGACTGGGGCCCCATAGCACTGAAGCCCCAACTCTCAAGACAGGGTTTGAAAAAGGCTCTTCGGCCCAACGTGGTGGCTCACACCTGTAATCCCAGCACTTTGGGAGGCCGAGGCAGGCAGATCACTTGAGGTCAGGAGTTCGAGTCCAGCCTGGACAATATGGTAAAACCCTGTCTCTACTAAAAAAATATGAAATTAGCCAGGCGAGGTAGTGGGCACCTGTAATCCCAGCTACTCAGGAGGCTGAGACAGGAGAATTGCTTGAACCGGGGAGGCGGAGGTTGCAGTGAGCCAAGATTGAGCCACTGCATGCCAGCCTGGGCGATGGGGTGAAACTCCGTCTCCAAGAAAAAAAAAAATCAAACAGGCTCTTCCTTTCCCTTCACCACTGTCTCCTTCAGACACTGCGGTCCCTCGCGTGCTGCGGCTGCCATCACCAGGGCCAGCAGAAAGCCACTCCCATCACCAGCGCTGCTTCAGGCCAGGGGCTCCGCAGGTGGTCCCGTCCTGCCCACCAAGAGACCTGCCTGGGTTTCACCCCTCGGTGAGAAGTCAGCACCGTATGCCCCCCAGGTCGTGTGACTGTGGGCCCCAGGAGACTTATGGAGCCCAGTGGGGTTTGAGACAAAGCCCACAAAGGGACAGAGCATCTTACAGAGGGAACTACAGGGGCTTCCCAAGGAGGCAGAAGGAGAGGATGGAGGTGGCCTCGAAAGCCAGGTCAATGATTTCCCCAAAGGAATGAAACACACCGTGGGCAATGGTGAGTCTCCCCACACATCCCCCGTGTCTCCATGTCCTCTCCGTGGCCTGCAACCCAAGCCCCGGACGAGTCCTGCAGGGCCTCTCCTGTGTCTGCTCAGCAGGGCAGGGCTGCAGACAGGCCTTCCGTGTGAGTTCCACCCTGCGGGGCTGTGGGACGTGGGGCCTGGACCCAGCCACCCTCCTGGCCTCTGCCCAGCGCAAGCTCATGAAGGTATGGGGGGCGGCGCGAGAGCCACAGGGTCTGGCCTCACCTCACGCACATGTCCGCCTCGTACTTCTTCCCGTAGAGGATCCCCAGCAGGGACGGGTTCTTGTTTCCTCTGAAGTTCAGGGTTACATCATAGACAGCTGCGACTGTGGGAGGAGACGGGAGGGTGAATGACCCAGCCCAGGCGGCTGCATGGTCACTGCCAGAGGGAAAAGCAAGTTCCACCTGGGACCCGGCCCCGTCCTGGGGAGAACGCGTGAGGGGTCTGGCCCCGTCCTGGGGAGAACACACCAGGACCTCTTCTCTAAGTTTTCTTTCCCCCTCTTTTTTCCCCATTCTCTGTTGGTGAGGGCATTTAGTGGCTGACGTTTCCCATGGGTACTGACGCTGTGAGTGTGACCCTGCTGTCTGGCTGTTTTCTGTTCTTTGTCCCTTTCTTTTATTTTGACTCCTTTTGGATTAATAAGATACAATAATGATTATTTTCCCTTCATAAGGTTTTGCATTATGTATTTTTTATTATTTTAATTGTTTCTCATGAATTAGCATTTTATCACCTCAAAACCTGACGCGGGAACCTTGCGGCGCCGACCCCCTCACTTGATTCCTTTTGCACTTCTGTTCTTCTGTGTTTCACATGGAATGCACTCATTTTTTTTTTTTTTAAAGAAATCACTATTTTCCGTGAGCATAGCGGTGGCCCCGGCTCGGGCAGTCTGGGGCCTACCTGTCCCCCGGAGGCACTTGACTGCGGTGGTGAAGCCCTTGGTCCGCGGCAGCAGGTGGTACTTGAGGACAGGAAGCCCCTTAGCAGCCGCCACCTCCATGCTAACGCGGTGCTTGGTCTCCGTGAAGCGCGTCCCCTCGCAGTACAGGAGAAACTAGGATCAACACGGAGACAGGGTCACTCCACAGAGCAGCTGGGGTGGGTGCATGTCCAGGCCAGGCCTGCCTCTCTGACAGGCAGCAAAGGTTGTGGCTGAATTTGTGGAAATCTTGGAACCGCTTTAGCGAGCAGCATGGGTTATGACTGAAAGGTTCTTTTATTCTAGGGCCACAGTCTGCACTCCAGTCACACACGTTCATTCACACAGGAGAGCTCTCCAGAAAGAACTTTCCAGAAAGAAGTGAAACATGAAGGTGTGTTGGGGCAGCAGCCTCTGAGCAGTGTGAAAACAGAGAGGGTTTCATCGACTTGCCACAGCATGAGTTAGAAATGTTAACAGCAGGCCGGGCGTGGTGGCTCACCCCTGTAATCCCAGCACTTTAGGAGGCCGAGGCGGGTGGATCATGAGGTCAGGAGTTCAAGACCAGCCTGGCCAACATGGTGAAACCCCGTCTCTACTGAAAATACAAAAATTAGCCAGTCGTGGTGGTGAGTGCCTGTAATCCCAGCAACTTGGAGGCTGAGAGAGGAGAACTGCTGGAACCCGGGAGGCAGAGGTTGCAGTGAGCTGAGATCATGCCACTGCACTCTAGCCTGGGTGACAGACTAAGGCTCTGTCTCAAAACAAAAAAAAAGAAATGCTAACAGCAGGCTGGCAAGCTGGCTCATGCCTATAATCCCAGCACTTTGGGAGGTCAAGGTGGGCGGATCACCTGAGGTCAGGAGTTTGAGACCAGCCTGGCCAACATGGTGAAACCCCATCTCTACTAAAAATACAAAAAATTAGCCAGGTGTGGTGGCACGCACCTGTAATGTCAGCTACTTGGGAGCCTGAAGCAGGAGAATCGCTTAAATCTGGGAGGTGGTGGTTGCAGTGACCCGAGATTGCACCACTGCACTCCAGCCTGGGCGACAGAGCGAGACTCCGTTTCAAACACACACACACACACAAAAACACACACAACAAAACGAACAAGAAAACAAAAAAACAGAAATGCTAACAGCACAGGCAGCCCATTTTCCAAGACAGACCAGGAAGAAGGGACAGAAAAAGAATGGGGATGCACACTGAGCAGGGCGGGCAGAGCCAGGGCTCACTGGGGGCACCCTGCTCTGCCCCCTCCCCCGGCCAGATCCCCTTAGGATGGCCTGGTCAGAGCTGGGATTGCGGCGAGTAGCAAGCAGGTGGCCCAAGAGAAGCCTCCACGCCTGCAGCTCAGATGGGGGAGTCATGGCCCCATGGAAACAGCACCCCATGTGCAGAGGCTCTCATGGGGTTTCCCAGCCTGGGATGTGGGCAGCCGTGCATCAGGAGTTGGCGTGGCCTCCTCCAGGCATGCAGGGTATCGGGCTGCTCCGCGCACTCACCCACATGTACTCGGGGTAGTCCGACAGGCGCCTCAGCCCTTCGACCACGGTGTCCCGGTCCTCCTCCCACTTCCGCTTGCAGAACACAATCTCCAGAAAGTACCACGTCCAGCCGATGAGGGGCACGTAGAGCAGCTCCTTCTTAGCGAGGACCTTGGAGCTCTGGAGGGAGGAGAAGGAGGGGCACCTGGCACTTCAGCGTCGGACAGAGGCCAGGGGCTTGGCCAGGCTCCCGCTGCACCCAGCTCCTGTGTGGTGTCGCTCTAGGAGTCACGGCTTTGTGGCTCAGGGGGTCTGCTGTGAAGCAGGACCCGGCTTCTGAGGGTGAGTGGGTCGCCCCAGAAATGAGGAAACTGAGGCTCAGGCTTGGCTGGGAGGGCCCTCAGGGAAGGTGGATGAGCCGGATGCAGAGGCTGCCAGGCTTCCGGGGGGTGGCCTGGGGGTGCTGCCTCACACAGGGGCTTTGACTGCAATGAAATTCTTCTGCCAGCATCGGGGAGTAGTTTAGGTTTCATCTGAGGCAGCTTAGCTAACGGAAGTGGTTCTGCAGGGACGCAGGTGGGGTCATCTCAAAGGCAAAGGCCATGATGAGAAAGGAGGGCACAGCTCGGGGACAGCTGAGGCCCTGCGGGCCAGGGCCCCTCAACCAGCCAGGCACCACTGCCGAGCTCAAAGAGACGCCCCAGGAGGAACACCCAGGGACTCGGACCCCAGGGGCCTCCCCGGCACCTCCTCAGGGAGTCCCCTGCTCCCCTAGCCCTTTCCCTGGGAAACCCAAGGCTCTCCCAGCTCCTCTGCTGGGACCCCCACTGCTCCACCCAGTACCTCCCCCACCCAGGGCCCTCTTGCTCACCCCAGCACCCGCCTACTCCCCCAGATCCTCCCCAGGACCCTTGCCGCTCACTCCCAGCACCTCCCCTGGAAGGTGCTCACCCTAGCCTCTCCCTGGGACCCCCCACTCACCCCCAGCCCTCCCCAGGACCACCCCACCCTGCTCATCCCCAGCCCTCCTGGGACCCCGCCCAGCTCACTCCCAGTCACCACCCCACCCCCAGCCCTGCAGGGACCCCCTGCTCACCCCGGCCCTCCCTGGGTCCCCGCTCACCCCCGGCCCTCCCCGGGACCCTCCTGCTCACCCGTGGCCCTCCCCAGGTCCCCGCTCACCCCCAGCACTCCGAAGCGCTCACACATGGTCCACCCACAGAGGAAGTCGATCTCGAAGTTGTGGTTGAGGATGATGACTGCGTGCTCCTTCCCAAAGCGCTCTACCGTGGCCTGGTCCGTGAACAGTGTACACTCCGTGCAGGACCACCACTCCAGCAGCATGACCAGTTCTGCGGACAGGGGGAGGGCGTTGGCACTGGTAGGACCCCTCCTCCTGGGATGGTCAGGGAGCGCCCACAGGAGACACCTACAGTATTTTTGTCCAGAGAGGAAGTCTCTGCTAAACATGAGTTTTGATGACTTACACTGAGTACGTTTTATGAAATTACAATAACTTTCTCTAAGCAACAGTTGGGAGGAGACAGATGGAAGGTAGCAGCAGAAAGGGAGAGAACCGCCACTCTGCATGGAGACGCTGATCTTTACGCCCAATTACGCTTCTCACGTGCACCTTGGTGTGGCCGAGTACCGCACAGCCACGCCCCGTGAGAGGTGCAGAAGATGAAAAATGTCACTAGATGATTAGGAAGCAGAAAACAACCATCGTATGTCTGCAGAACAGACAGTGGGAAAAAATGAAGAGTTAAGAGCAGAATGGAATTATAGACGACAGAGTAATAGGAATTATATTTTCTCCTAAAACTTGCTTTGGGGTTACACTGGTTTTCCATATTTAAAAAAAAGCCATGTGAGGCCTAGCCCGCCCCCAGGAAGGCCGGCTGGGGGTGCTCGACGGGGCTTGCTGCTGGGCAGGTGGCCAGAGGCCTGCGGGGTCCCCAGAGACAGCAGGGCACACCTGACCCCGTGGGTGCTGGCATGTGAGGGGTGCCAGTCCTGGCTTTGAGTGCTTGTCCCCCCCACCCAGGGGTTCTTGGAGCCTCCTCCCTTGGTCTCTTCCCCTGGCTCCGGCCTGGTGAGCTGAAGACACTCTTCCCAGAAGTGTGGAGGGGCTCGTGCCGGGAGATCTGTTTGCCGGCAGGAGACCTGCACGCCTGGGAGGGCTCTGGGGCTGCTGGGAACGCAGCATCGTCTGTCTCCTGATGGGGACTCTGGGATGCCCTCATTCACCTTCGGGAGAACTGCAGGGCTGAAGAGTTCCGTGGTGAGAACGGTGCATCTTTGTCACACGTGGGCCTCAGAGGGAGTTAGTCCTGTTCAGAGGGCCATGTGGGGAAGGACAAGAGGGAGGCCAAGCAGGTGGGCCTCTTGTCGGCCACCAGAGTCTTGTGCCCCCCAGCCAGTTGTCCGGGAAGGATGGCCCCACAGAACCAGGACGCGGCTTCCAGCTCAGGACGGCCTCAGGCTTCTCGCGCTGGACACCAGCCCAGCTCTGAAGTGTGGGCTTTCTGCAAGGCCATTGCCCGGGGTTCTTTTATACCAGTTATTTATAAAGGACACTAGAGACCAATTCCAAAGACATCCTGCACGGGTGAACAAAGGGCCGCTACCCGAGATCACGCAGCTCAGCCCAGGATGGCCAGAGACGCCTGCAGACAGCGTGCAGGTGCAGGGAAGTGTCTTCCCAGCGGTCATGATGCTGCAGGCACATGCAGGCGAGCAGAAAGGACGCAGAAAGGAGAGAGGGAACTCAGGGTTTGTGGGGGTACCAAGGGACCCCAATTCCTTTAAAAGAGAAAGGTCACCTGTGGGCAGAGGCAGTGGACGGGAGGAAATCCTGCGTGTGGGGAGAAGACTCGCTGACCAAGCCCCCACAGCAGGCCTGCCCTGGCAGGGGCGCCCCCACCGCTGGCTCACCCCTGGCAAGTGCTTGAGACCTCTGCCTTTAGGGTCATGCCTAAAGGCTGGAGAAGGGGAATGAACTGAATGGGAGCCCACACAGCCAGCCAGACACAGGCACACTCCCCATGAGTGTTCTGGAAAGACGAGCTGCGCTGTCTGGAGAATGGTCCCATCCAAAGGTCACCTGTGGCAAGCCCAGGGACATGTGGCACTTTTCCCTTGCTGTCGGCATGCAAAGGCAGCCTTCAGCGGATCTCAGGACCCCTCGGCTGACGCTGGCTAACTGCAGACAGCTGTCAGGGCAGGCATCTGTAAACTGTCTTGCAGGGTGGGCGGCGCCTGGGCCCGATATGAAATTCCTTTTATCATTTCCTTCACTCAAATACATGCTTCCCTAAAGCACAATGAGTAAGCCAGCCATAGCCTATTTTTCAACCACGGATTTAAAAAAATCTAAAATTCTGGACGGGTGCGGTGGCTCAAGCCTGTAATCCCAGCACTTTGGGAGGCCGAGACAGGAGGATCACTTGAGGCCAGGAGTTCAAGACCAGCTGGGGAAGCATGGCAAAAGCCCATCTCTACTTAAAAATAAAAAAAATTAGCTGGATGTGGTGGCAGGCACCTGTAATCCCAGCTACTTGGGAGGCTGGGGCACGAGAATCACTTGAACCTCAGAAGATGGAGGTTGCAGTGAGCCAAGATCGCACTGCTGTGCTCCAGCCAGGACAACAGAGAGACTCTGTCTCAAAACAACAACAACAACAAAAAAAACCTAAAATTCACCCAATAATAGTAACAATTTATCAAGCATTGCTGTGTACCTGCTGTGCGCATTGATTTAGGCTTTATAAGACAGCTCAAAGGCAGGTGGTTTTGTCTGTGCTCTGCAGATGAGAAAGCTGAGGTTTAGAGACTGAAGCCTTGACCAAGGTCAGCAGGGAGTGAGGAGGCTGGGCCAGGTTGTTTAAACGGCTCCAAACCTGCACCCTTCGCCGCAGCACCTATAGCTCTGCACATCAGATGACAGCAGAGACACACTGGCAGTGAGTTCAAAATGGGCAGCAAGAAGGCACCCAGCATTAAGGAATGAGAACAGGAATGAAGAATTGAAAATAAAACCGTGGTTCAGGGTCATCAGAAAACACTGTGGCTGGTGCGGTGGCTCAGCCTGTAATCCCAGCAGCCCAGCAGGCTGAGGCAGGAGGATCACATGAGCCTAGGAGTTGGAGACCAGTCTGGGCAACATGGCAAAACCCTGTCTCTACAAAAAATACAAAAATTAGCTGGGCATGATGGTGCACACCTGTGGTCTCAGCTACTCAAGGAGGCTGAGGTAGGAGGACTGCTTGAGCCCAGGAGGCAGAGATTGCAGTGAGCCAAGATCACACCACTGCACTCCAGCCTGGGCGACAGAGCAAGACCCTGTCTCAAAAACAAACAAACATAAACAAACCCACTGTGAGGTCTGCTCTCACCATGCGCCCCTGAACTGGCAAAGGCTTCCACATACCTCTGACTGCAGAAAGGCTCCCACAAACATATTCATGGAAATAAATCTAAGTGGAGAACATCCCAAATCCAACAAGTCACAGACGGAATTCACATACCCACGCAAGCCCAGCAGATGGAGAGGCCGATTATTTCTGTTCTTACTGAAGTGCTTTTCTTGTGTATTTGTGGTCATCCCAAGTATCTGGGAATTTTATATTGATCTTAATGTATACCTCAATATTTCTTATTTTAATGCTTTTCTTTCTACTTTCTTGCATTAACAAAAGAGATTTACCTTTTTTTCTTTATCTTTTTCTAATACTTTGGAAGCTATGTTTGATCTCTCTTTTTTCCTACCCTATACTTAACAAAGTTACCATTAAAATCTGAACCTGGGCTGGGCGCTCCCGCCTGTAATCCCAGCACTTTGGGAGGCCGAGGTGGGCGGATCACCTGAGGTCAGGAGTTTGAGACCAGTCTGGGCAACATGGTGAAACCCCATCTCTAATAAAAATACAAAACAAAAAATTAGCTGAGCGTGGTGCAGTCTCACCTCACTGCAACCTCCACCTCCCAGGGTCAAGCGATTCTCCTGCCTCTGCCTCCTGAGGAGCTGGGATCACAGGTGCCCACCACCATGCCAGGCTAATTTTTGTATTTTTAGTAGAGATGGGGTTTCACCATGTTGACCAGGCTGGTCTTGAACTCCTGACCTCAGGTGATCCGCCCACCTTGGCCTCCCAAAGTGCTGGGATTACAGGCGTGACCCACTGCGCCCGGCTGAGCACTGTTTTTATTTTACATACGGTTTAGATTCATCCATCTCCTAATTTCTTTGGCTACCATTCTTTCTTGAAAATTATACCCTACTTTTATAATTTTTGTTCTTACTGAAACACATCCTTAAAAAATATTGAAGTGAAGATCTATGGGCAGTAAAAGCTCTCATTTTTTTGTTTACCAAAACCTTTTTATTTTATTTGTACTCTTGAACAACACAGGGTGCTAGGTTGGTGATTTTCCAGCACATTGAGGATCTTCCACCTTCTCCCGCCACTGCTGCCTGCCGTAAGAAATCTGCTGTCGGCCTCACTGCTGACCATCCAGCGTGGTTCTCCAGCTTTCCTCTCCGGGGATTCGAAGACTTCCTTATCTTTTTTTTTTTTTTTTTTTTTTTGAGACAGAGTCTCACTCTGTCACCCAGGCTGGAGTGCAGTGATGCAGTCTCGGCTCACTGCAACCTCCACCGACCAGGTTCAAATGATTCCCCTGCCTCAGCCACCCCAGTAGCTGGGATTAGACATGTGCCACCAGGCCCAGCTAATTTTTATATTTTTAGTAGAGATGGGGTTTCACCATGTTGGCCAGGCTGGTCTCAAACTCCTGACCTCAGGGGATCCTCCTGCCTCAGCTTCCTGGAATGCTGGGATTAGAGGCGTGAGCCACCGCGCCCGGCTCCTCCTTGTCTCTGATGGTCTGTGATGCCCCAGGGCCTGCCTAGGTGTGGATTTCTGTGCATTCGCTCTGCTTGGTCTACATGTGCTTCCTGTATCTGAAAAATCGTGCCTTCATCAGTTCAGGAGGTCCTCAGGCATCCTCTCTTCCCAGGAGGCTTCTCCTGTTCTCTCCTTTGGGGATGGGGGCCAAAGCCCTATTTTATGAAGGTTCTCATTCTGTCCTTACATCTTTTCACGCCTATTTCACATTTTTCACCTCCTTTACTGTCACTGGATGATTTCTTCACATTGATGTCTGGTGTACCCATTCTCTCATTAACTGTGTCTAATCTGATACAAAATCCATCCATACGGTTTTGCTTTAAAATATCTACAGTTTTCACTGAGAGCAGTTCTACTTGGTTCTGTACCCATTCTCATTAACTGTATCTAATCTGATACAAAACCTGTCTGTAAGTTTTTGCTTTAAAATATCTACAGTTCTCACTGAGAGCAGTTCTACTTGGTTCTCTTTCAAGTCGGGGCACAGTGGGTCATCTTCAGTCCACATCTGCTGTTTACGTTGTCATTCTTGATTATGAATTCATATTTAATTTTCCTTAATCTGTGGGATTCTTCAGGCCTGAATGAGACTTTCTCCAGAGTGTACTTTCGTTTGCCTCTGCTGAAACCCAAGGGTCACTGTTAACCCTAGCTTGTCTCGCGCCCTCGCTCAAGAGTCCTGGTTTAGCTTCAGCGCCCTCTGCTACAGCTGCCCAAGGGTTAGGCTCCTGAAAGGCAGTGCTGACATTCCATTTCTGCACACCCCGGTTTTTGCTAAAGGGATTTGGTGGAAGGGTGGAGCTGAGAGGTTTTTGTTTCCTTACTGTGAGCCCAGAAATGCATTAAAAAGCCAGTTTCAGGCAGGATTTAGCTGTTTTGTAGTATTTTAGCTTCAGAATACTGCTAGAAAGTAGGAGTCTGTAATTTAGTTTTCATCAGTTAATATTTGCCCTTTTTGTATGTATTCATCTTATCCAGTTATACTCATGAATAACTCATTTGTATATTTTATATTATAGGATTTCCAATTCTCCCTTCCCACAGAAAAAAGCAGCAGCCTTTCATTTAAAAAAGGAAACAAACTGGCCGGGCGCGGTGGCTCACGCCTGTAATCCCAGCACTTTCGGAGGCCGAGGTGGGCAGATCACGAGGTCAGGAGATCAAAACCATCCTGGCTAACACAGTGAAACCCCGTCTCTACTAAAAATACAAAAAAAATTAGCCAGGAGTGGTGGCGGGTGCCTGTAGTCCCAGCTACTCGGGAGGCTGAGGCAGGAGAATGGCGTGAACCCAGGAGGCAGAGCTTGCAGTGAGCCGAGATCGCACCACTGCACTCCAGCCTGGGCAACAGAGCGAGACTCAGTCTCAAAAAAAAAAAAAAAGAGAAAAAACAAACCAGGAACTGAAGCTATAACACATTTAAGACAAGCTAGTCTAAGGGCTGGGTTACTAGTCTCTCTGCAGACAGTGGGGTGTCGCAGGCATGAAAAGTTAGCTGACATAAACAGCCTTTTCAGCAGTGCTACCGGCTCCTGAACTGGAAGGAGATCGTGCAGACAAGGTTACAGGCCAGCCATTTCCCATATGAGACAAAGTGTCTATGCGCTCACCATTTCCTACATGAGACAAAGTGTATACGCGCTCACCGTTTTCCATATGAGACAAAGTGTATGTGGGTTCACCATTTCCCACATGAGACAAAGTATCTATGCGCTCACCATTTCCCACATGAGACAAAGCGTATACGCGCTCACCGTTTCCCATATGAGACAAAGTGTATGTGGGTTCACCATTTCCCACGAGACAAAGTGTCTACGCGCTCACTGTTTTCCATATGAGACAAAGTGTATACGCGCTCACCGTTTCCCACGAGACAAAGTGTCTACGCGTTCACTGTTTTCCATATGAGACAAAGTGTCTACGTGCTCACCCTTTCCCACATGAGACAAAGTGTCTATGCGCTCACCGTTTCCCATATGAGACAAAGTGTATGTGGGTTCACCATTTCTCACGTGAGACAAAGTGTCTACGCGCTTACCGTTTCCCACGAGACAAAGTGTCTATGCGCTCACCGTTTCCCATATGAGACGAAGTGTCTATGCGCTCATGCAAAAACATGGAAACAGCATGAGAGTGTGAAATAAAACGTAAGAATCCCCTCCTTTCCCCACTCCCTGGATATCAGCATCACGCAGTTTTCTCGGGCATCCTTCTGAGATTTTTGTTTTCTTTTTTTTTTTTTTTAGACAGAGTCTTGCTCTGTTGCCCAGGCTGGAGTGGTGCAGTGGTGTGATCTCAGCTCACTGCAGCCTCCACCTCCCAGGTTCAAGCAGTTCTCCTGCCTCAGCCTCCCGAGTAGCTGGGATTACAGGTGTGTACCACCATGCTCAGCTAATTTTGTATTTTTAGTAGAGACAGGGTTTCACCATGTTGCTCAGGCTGGCCTTGAACTCCTGACCTCAGGTGATCCACCTGCCTCAGCCTCTCAAAGTGCTGGGATTACAGGCATGAGCCACCATGCCCAGCCCCTTCTGGGATTTTTCCACACATGTACACACCACACACACAGCATCCTTTCTTAAGACACAAAATGAATCATAGCATACTATGGACTTTGTTGTATACTTCCTTTTTCGCTTAAAACTGTACGGGCAAGATGAAGGCTCTCCATGATGGCCGCAGAGGGTCCCTGTATGGGTGCCGCATAATTAGTCTCCAGTGACAGGTGCTTGGGTTGCTTCTAGTTTTGTGCTACTATAAAAATAATACAATAATGAGAATACCTGTGATAAAATGAGAACACCTGTCCAGTTGCATACTTTTGCACATCTCTGTAGGTTGCATGTTATTCTGTGGAATTGCTGAGTTGAAAATTGCAACCACTTAAACTGTTGACGGCCACTGCCAAACCACCCTCCAGAGATGCGCCTGTTCATGTCCCCACGACGCCCGGTGTGAGCGGTTACCTGTCCACAGTGGGTGTTGTTACCAAGCCTCTGAGTCTCTGTCCACATGACAGGTACAGATCGGTTTCTCTATGTATAATACACATACGCACAGAGGCACATACGGACAGACACACAGCTACACATGTGTTTGATACGCAGGGAGGCAGGACACCTTTTCTTTCAGGGATGCATGCTGAAATACGCGTCAGCATGCTCTGGTGTTGGCGCAGTGTGGGCAGGACACACGAGGGGCCATGTAGGGAGCTGTTGGAGCTTGGTAACGGGTAAACAGAACTCAACATTCTCTTTACTTTTGTTTAAACATTCCCATATGCTCTGGTAAACCGTGGGAAGCTGCCATTGCTATGGGTCAGAATGGTGAGAGTGGCACGTCACACAGCTCAAGCTAAGAAAAAGAGGTAGCCAGGTGCCTTCCGACAGCCTGCCAGCCAGATGGCCTCGGCACCTCCTGCATAGCCCTCACTTCCTGCCTGAGAGCCCACGGCTGCCCCGTGCATGGTCGCGCGCCACCCCCACGGGAGCCCCAGGCGGCAGGGACTGGCCCAGCAGACACTCACGGCTCCAGAGTGAGTAGGCGAGGCGGCAGTTGAGGCGGCGGTAGAGCTGCTTGCTGACCGGCCAGAGCGCCAGCGTGCACAGCTGGACGAAGTTGATGACCAGACCACTCACCACGAAGACAAAGCCGACCAGCAGGTGCAGCACGAACTGGGTCTTCAGGAAGGCCAGCAGGCCCATGGCGCTGCTCAGGAGCGGGTGCACGGCCCCTCGCTGAGGACAGCCGTCCTGCAAAGACAGGGACAGGGACAGCGTCAGGGTGGCCACGCCCACACCCTCACAGGAACACCGGGGCACTGCTCACTGCACACCCCGCACATGCCTCACGCTTATACACACATGCTGCACAGCACACTGCAAACCCCACACACGTGCCACACACATACAAACCACACACATGCCACACACACCACACTGCAAACCACACACACGCCACACACCACAAACCACACACACACCACTGCAAACCACACGTCACACACACACCACAAACCACACATGCCACACACATACCACACACACGCCACACACACACAACCACACACACGCCACACACCACAGCTCATCACAAACCCCACACATGCCACACACATGCCACACACACCGCAAACCACACACCACACACACACCACATCACAAACCCCACATGCCACACATCACACACCACACACGCCACACACACTGCAAACCACACACACCACACACGCCACACACATACCGCAAACCAAACACATGCCACACACACACACTGCAAACCACACACATGACACACACACACCACAAACCACACACACCACGCATACCATACCACAAACCACACACATGCCACACACACCACACTGCAAACCACACACATGCTACACACACACCGCAAACCACACACATGCCACACACACCGCAAAACCACATACACGCCACACACACACAAGCCACACACATGCCACACACACACCACCCCACCACCCACACACACACCATACACACCACACACCACACACACACCGCAAACCACACATGCCACACACACCACACATCACAAACCACACACACTACACACACTGCAAACCACACATATGCCACACACACATCACAAACCACACACACTACACACTGCAAACCACACACATGCCACACACACCACACATCACAAACCACACATATGCCACATACACACCACACACCACAAACCATACACATGCTACATATACCACACCACACCACAAACCACATACACGCCACATACACACACTACAAACCACACATATGCCACACACACCACAAACCACACACACGCCACACGCACCACACACACCACAAACCACACCTACACCACACACCAAAAACGACACACACGCTCACACATATGGTGCATACCACACTGCAAGCACCATACCACAAACCACACACACTGTAGCACAAACCACACACACCACAGTGCAAAACACATACACCACATCCCACACGCACTGCTGCACACAGCCCCATACTCTACACCACACACACACAATTGTACCACACACCACACACTGCAACACATCCCCCCACCCCATGCACACTCATATGCACCACAGTCTCACACACACAACAAGCACTATACACATAAACATGCCACACTCACACACACACACTCTCCCATGCAAACCAGAAAGAAAAAACGAAAAGACTAGAAGAAATACACCCAAATATTGATAGTGATTAACTTGTGGTGAAGGCATCATAATTTTTATTTGATTTAGTATCTCATTTAAAAGATCCAAACTGCACAATCAATCTCTGCAAACAGAGCCAGGAGGCCTCACAAACCCCTCAGTGTGGGAATCAATGCTTTTCACTCCCACACTCGTGTGCGTATTTGAAGCGTGAAAGATTTCTGTTCTGGTTTCCTGCACAAAAGGAGCGACTCCCCAGGGGCTCCACCGGCTCCCCCTTTCCTTCTACGCACGTCTCACAGTTTCAGCAGGGAAGCCGGTGGCCCCCCTCCACTCTTGGCAGCACTCCTACTGAGCGGCCCTACAACCCCCGTGTGGAGGGGGAAACCCGAGACCCCAGTGTGGAGGGGAAAACCCGAGACCCCCATGTGCAGGGGGAAACCCGAGACCCCCGTGTGGAGGGGAAACCCCGTGTGGAGGGGGAAACCAGAGACCCCCGTGTGGAGGGGGAAACCCGAGACCCCCCTGTGGAGGGGGAAACCCGAGACCCCCGTGTGGAGGGGGAAACCCGAGATCCCTGTGTGCAGGGGGAAACCCGAGACCCCCGCGTGGAGGGGGAAACCCCGTGTGGAGGGGGAAACCCGAGACCCCCGTGTGGAGGGGGAAACCCGAGACCCCCGTGTGGAGGGGAAACCCGAGACCCCCCGTGTGGAGGGGAAACCCGAGACCCCCCGTGTGGAGGGGAAACCCTGGCAGTCAGGCTGGCGGTGCTGCCAACCCCTGACTTGGTCCTCTGGAAGGGCACTGAGTGCACTCCCATGGGGCAAAGGGGTGGGCTCTGGAGTGGCACCAGCTGGCCTTCCACATTCCCAGGGCGGCCCCTGTTCCACACCGCCAGCTGCCCCCACTGTGGCCATTCTTGCACCCAGAGCAAGGCTCTCCATGGGCGCCCACCCCACCCGCCCATGAAACCCCCTGTCCCGACTCCACAGAGCGCCCTCCATACAGGCCCCCACCCTCTGCCTCTCAGGGATTTGCAGGCGCTGCCTTGAATGGCACTCGGGGGCCACAGATGCCAGTGTCACTCCCACCACCCTTGGACGTTCTCAACCTATGGGGCATTAAAAGTCACCTCTCCCAGACACTGGGCCCTTGGCTCCCCAGAAACCGTGGGGACAAGAGCTCTGGTCATGGTTTAGGAATGGGCCTGAAACACTTTCGCTCCTCCCCTCGAAAGGTGGAGGGGTCTTCTTCCCTTTCTGACTATGGCCTGGACTTGGTCATTGCATCTGATGAACAGCCTTGCAGAAATGTGCTACGTGATTGCCAAGGCTAGGTCACAAAAAGGACAGTTTCTGCCTGGCTCTGCTCCCAGGATGGCCACATCACAAGGATGTGTGAGCGGCAGGTCCTTCCTGCGCGGAAGGGGCTGACCTCCTACTCCTGAGGGGGCCACCTGGGAGGCAGGCCCTCTGGCCCTGGTCAAACCTTCAGATGAGCCCAGCCCTGGCCTCAGCTCACCTGCAACCCCACAGCACCCAGCTAAGTCGCTCCTGAATTGCTGACTCCACACACTGTGGGGTTAAGGAGTTGTACTGTTTGATGCCCCCACACTGTGGGCTGATTCATTAAAGCAGCAACAGGAAATTAATACCCTAGACAGAAAGGACAGAAAAGACAAGGGGGCAACAAAAACACTTTTTATGGGCTTAACTTGTTCCACGGTCTGTGTTGAACACCTCTCACGCATTCCAGACTCTCAGATGACCCCAGCAGGATGCCATCACTGCCCCAGTTGACAGGTGAGCAAACAGAAGCACAGAGAGGCTTCGTGCATCATATGGGGCCACACAGGGAGTCAGCAGTAGAGCCAGTGCCAGTCCAGATAGCGAGGCTCAGAAGTCAGTGCTCGCC
Source organism: Homo sapiens (assembly GCF_000001405.40). Taxonomy (NCBI): domain Eukaryota; kingdom Metazoa; phylum Chordata; class Mammalia; order Primates; family Hominidae; genus Homo; species Homo sapiens. The sequence continues at coordinate 43,956,298 of NC_000021.9, read as the reverse complement.
CAGACACACTGCAGCCCCCCCAGGGTGGGCAGGGGCCCCTTAGAGCAGAGCCTCAGACACGCTGGGCAGACCAGGCTTGCTGTTTCAGAACGCCTTTCTTGAGCTAGAGACGATATATTCGACCAGATCCTGAGTTGTACAGGGTGGGGGCCGCCCTGCAGCCCATCACCTGGCCCCCACCTGGCACACAGCAGAGCCCCAGGAGACCAGGTGGTCCTCACCCAGGGGCACACATCACTCCACACTGGCCCAGAAGAACCAGGGTCCCAAGAAGCCTGCTTGAGGGCCAGCACATCAGCTGTGATGCTCCGAGAAGCAGATGCCCGGGCTCCACAGCAGACCTGCTGATTCCGTTGCTACGGCGCAAAGTACAGGAATCTGATTTTTTTTTTTTTTTTTGAGACAGATTATCTCACTGTTGCCCAGGTTAGAGTGCTGTGGTGCCATCTTGGCTCACTGCAGCTTCCTGGGTTCAAGCAATTCTCATGCCTCAGCCTCCCGAGTAGCTGGGACCACAGGTATGCACCACCATGTCCAGCAAATTTTTGTATGTTTAGTAGAGATGGGGTTTCGCCATGTTGGCCAGGCTGGCCTCGATCTCCTGACCTCAGGTAATCCGCCCAACTCGACCTCCCAAAGCGCTGGGATTACAGGTGTGAGCCACCGCACCCAGTCATGACGTTTATTTTTAAAAATCAGATTCTCAGCCGGGCGCGGTGGCTCACACCTGTAATCTGAGCACTTTGGGAGGCCGAGGCAGGAAAATAGCTTGAACCTGGGAGGAGGAGGCTGCAGTGAGCTGAGATCGCACCACTGCACTCCAGCCTGGGTGACAAGAGTGAAACTCCATCTCAAAAAAGAAAAGAACTTCATCCAGGAATAAATAACACACGATTAAGATGGGTTTGCCGAGTGTCCGTGCATAGCGTTATGGGTGTTGACAAGCTAAGCCGCCTGTGACCCCACCACACTGCAACAGGGAACATTTCCATCCAAGTCCTTCCCCACCCAGCCTGACAATGCAGGTCAGCTTTCCAGCTCTATAGGTTAATTTACCTTTTCTAGAGGTTCACAAACACAGAATCCCATGGCATCTGGCCCAGCCGGTCCAGCGCGGTGCTTCTGAGACGGCCCCGGGACAGCACCCAGGGCGCATCCGTGGCTGCTGAGTGACCCCCACGGCATGGACGTGCCACGGTGATACGCTCCCTGCCGACAGGCAGCTGGCACCCAGCCTTTGGGGGCCACAGATAGAGCCGTGATGCACATTCACGTCCCAGCCTCTGTGTGGATGCAGCTTCCCCTCGAGAATCCACTTTATCAACCGTCCTCGGTGTCACAAAGCGGCCAGTCTCTGGTCCATCACCTGAACCTCTGGGCTAGAAAGTCTACGCAGAGACTCCCCGGAGAGCCCACGCCTGCCCTCTGGCACATGTTTCTCCTGGCCCGGGTGCCACACAGCACTCAGTGCCCCCGGAACTCTGGCGTCTTGGGTCCAGCTCTCCTCAAAGGAAGTCTCTGCGGCAGTAAGCCCCAAAAAGGGTGAATGGAGCCGGCCAGTGCCAGATCAGAGGGGCTGGCTTCAGCCCTGGAGCCCAATTCTAGGAGCAAGTCCACCACCCTGCCGTGTGGCCCAAGGTCACACCCGGGACGGTGTCCCCCAGCTGTCTGCACGGCCCACAGCCTTTTGACGTGCTCCCTCGCTGAAGGCCACCTGCCCGGATCATCAACCTCTACGTCCTGGAGGTCCTAGATACGGAGTCAAAACACATCTTCATCACTTACTATGGACCAGACTCCATTCCAAGAAACATCTGCTGTTCACCTGCTTAATTCCAGCTAGCGGAACTCAGGGGCCTCTCCCGCCCGCCTGCCCCCACCAGAGCGCTCAACACGGTTTCCCTGGGTCATTGCCATGTCTCTGTCCAGCCAGCAGTGTAGTTTCACTCACAGACCTCGCAGGTACCCTGTTCCACCTCCCCACACCCAGCCCGCCTGGACCTCCTTGATAAACCTGACTGCACAAACCTCCAATGGCAGCAGGCAGAGGCCACCTCCCTCCCTGCAGAAGGGTGACGGTGAGGAAGGTGCCCTGCTTGGCCACACCGGTCCCCGCCTCCAGCTTCAAAGTCCTTTGGGCTGGCAGAGCAGGAAAGCATTGGGAGGGGCCTGGACTCAGTGGCCCCCTAGAGCATTTGCTCGTGAGCCCATGAGAGCGATTTTTAGGAAATTATGCATCCCCAGACAATGTGAAGTTGACGTCTACATTTTTATTTTTTATTTTTCATCTATTTATTTATAGAGACAGAATATCACTCTGTCACCCAGGCTGGAGGGCAGCGATGCCATCATGGCTCACACAGCCTTGATCTCCTAGGCTCAAGTGATTCTCTGGCTTCAGCCTCCCAGAGTGCTGGGATTACAGGCATGAGCCACTGCAACCAGCCAGCTTCTACATTTTTAAGCCCAAGTTTAAATATGCAAGGGGTGTAAAGTCTGGCATATTGTAGATTTTGACTCTGTAAAGCATAGTGTTTTTCTTTCTCTCCAATGTAGCTAGTAGAACCTAAATGCCATCATGATTTGACAGCCACCATTGGCACCTGTTTTCAAACCCCACAAAAAAAGCTCTTCTGGACAGCTGGCTTCGTTCCACTTGCTCCTGGAATCTGCATTCCCACTGCCCTTCTTCCACAGGATTTTATCATTGTGGAATATATTAAAAGTCTCTTTTGCTTAACATTAGGCTTGAAAGTCTTTTATTGATCACCCTAAACTAATATTCTGCAATGAAATATGTATGAACATCTAAAACTCACTTGCCTATTTCTTATGCACAGGCTTTAAGCTAAAAAGGTCTCCTGGGCTACGTCACGGCACTCCCTCCATGTCCGTCCACATCTCCTACGAATCAGGACAGCCTGCTCACTAGGACACCATGAGCACACCCAAGAAATGAATACCGACAGAATACTGCCGAACATCCCGTCCCTGTTTCCATTTCACCAACTGTCCCCAGATGACCTTCCTAGCTGCGGGGATGCAGGGCCCCGTGGAGGACACACATGCATTTGGATGGCACGTCTCTCTGTCCCCTTTCCCCGAGACGCTCCCCGCCTACTCTGGCCTGATGGTGTTGAAGCGGCTAAGGCAGCTCTCTGCGGCGTGCCCCACACCCTGGATTTGTCCGTTTCCTCACAATTAACTCGGGTTCAACATTTCTGGTCAAGAATGCATGGCAGAGCCGCTGGGTACTTCCTGCCACATCCCACTGGAGGCCCATAAAGCCACTTGGCCGGCGATGTGGAACCTCGCCTCACTTGGTTATGGTGGCACCACTGACACCCTGACCGCAGCAGATAGCCTGGGCAGCCCCCAGCACCCTGGGGACCTTGGAGAACGCCTGGGATAGAAGAGCCACACAGGGTGGGACCTCAGGGGTGGGACCTCTGGGGCTCCATCTGATTTCTGGGGCTGGGGCTGGGAGGTGTGACAGTGGGCCTCTCCAGTCCCCATGGCACCTTTTCATGGCTGCTCAGATGCCACCGAGACACTGAGGACACTGAGTTGCTTCTGAGCCCCTTCATTAAACAACAGGTTTAGGTCGCCCAGAAGCTTGGTGCCAGCGCGTCTTCATTAAACAACAGATTTAGGTTGCCCGGAAGCCTGGCGCCAGCACATCTTGGTCCTGGGGCGTGATGGCTGCTTCTTGGGTTTTGTCCTGGCCCCTGCACAAGCTACCGGGGTGTGCACCTTCTTAGATCAGGGGAGCAAAGGTGAGGCACGAGGCTGCCTCTGCCTGGGCAGGGCCAGAGCACTGCTTGCCAATCAGAGCCCAGCCCCACACGCCCACACCCAATTCTGCCACCTTTTGTTAGGGTGAACTGAGTTCCTTCCACAAAGGTAATGCCCAGGTCCTCGAAATGTGACCTTATTTGGAGACAGGGCCTTTAACACAGTAATTAAGTTAAATGATATCATCAGGGTGGGCGCTGATTCCATCTGACCGGTGTCCTTATGAAAAAGGGAGACCGCCTGCAGTCAGAGCCCGGGTGAGAAGCCTCAGAAGGAATCCTTGACCTTGGACCTGCAGCCTCCAGGACCACAGGACGACAAAAGCCTGCAGCTGCAGCCCCGCCTCTGGTGCCGTCACACAGCCCAATCGCACTCACAGGCCGCCTCATCCCAGGTCCGTAGTTCTGGAGAGGTACGGGCCCATCCCCGTGTTCCGCCATCCAGCCCACCCCCTGCCTGCCCCAGGTCCTTCGCTGCAGCATGTGGACCCTCCTCCCCGTCGCTGGTCCCTGTGACCCTCTTCCTCCAAAACCGGCCAGGCAGAGGATCTCACCCACATGCAGTCTCCCCAGAGACCCCCCTTCTTTGCCAAAATCCCCAACCTTTCCGAAGACGCCTTTTTATGGAATGGAAACTACAGTTCCGAGCCCACCACCTCCGCACCGCTGCCAGGCCCACCAGGCCCCTCCATTTCTTCCTTCTGAACAGAGGAGTCCCTGGTTTTCTCTGCACACATAGGACGGCAACTTCGTTTCTATGAGGGGTAAACACCAGTTTGTCTATCCATGAGCCTTTCATGCCTCTGTCACCAGCGCTGAAATCCCCCAGAGGAGATGGCACAGCCTCTGAAATATAGCACTATCTTCCCAAAACGCCACAGAGTGCCCACCCCAGCTGGCGTCCTGCTCTGTGCAGGGGCAGGAGCTGGGCAGAGCTGGGATGGGACCTGCTGTCCTTGGGTCCTGGGGTCCAGGAAGAAGATGTCACCACTGGCAACTATTCTGGGATCAGCAGATGCTCCCAAACCCTGGAATTCTCCCTTTGCCCTGCCCAAGCCGCCCTTCCGAGAGCAAGGCTAGCTCTCAGCAGACAGCAGTTGGCGGAGGAGAAAGACATTTCAGGATGCCAAAAGCACATCATTTCTGATGCTCTAGACAGGAGTTTTGAGTTGTGGGATAAAGATAACTTCTTAGTTCCATATGGATTTCAGTGATCCAAATCCAAGTCCATAATGGGGAACTGAGAAACGGCTGTCAGCTCCCTCCTTCCCCCCTTCCTCTTCTCTGTCCCGCCCACCCCGCACCCAAGGGCTCTGGTGTAGTGGGCCGAGCAGACCTGGCCCCTGCGAGGTGGTGGCACGGGAGGGCCTTGTGTGCTGGCTGCACAGGAGGGGACCACGGTGAGCCCCGGGCTCTTGGGTGCTGGGGAAAGCTCCACTGTTACTGTCAGCAGACGCTGGAGGAGAAAGTCCACCATCAGGAACAGTAGAGACGCAGTGATATCTCAAAGGGTCTTCATTTAGGTGGCAACGTTTACTATTCAGAACACCGCCAAGAACCCGGAAATAAACTGCACACACTTTCTGAGAAGCCAGCCTAGGTGTCCCATAAGGAAAAAGACTTCACTCACAGTGGACCTTTCGGGCCCTGCATTGGGTCCTCCTTCCTCCCGCTTTAAACGCAGCGTGGACAAGTGTGACGGGCTGGTTTCCTGGCCCACAGCTCATTGGAAGTGCGGGCTGGGGAACAGGGAAGAGGGGCTTGCAGAAGGCAGGCATGCCGCTGACAGCACTACCTGGGGCAGAAACGAGCCCAGGACTTGAGGCCCCTTGGAGGCCACTGAGCAGCGGGGGCGCGGTTGCAGGCTCTCTGACATCACGCATGAGGGCACAATGCGGTGACTGTGGCCCACGCTGATCTCGTCCGAATGCTGAGAGAGGGCGGCGTCACAGTTACCACATTATCTGAGAAGTCTGGTAAGCAGCGAAGATACTACTAAGCATTCAACTAAAATTTTAGATGAAACAAACACAATCCTATTTTGAGGTTTAAAGGGCAAATTTCAGTTCTTGGGTAAATTCACTTACAGAGACCACCTTACCTCTTCATAAGCCTGAAAAATATGAAATTGTTGCCAGCCCAACCTTATCAGCATTTGGAATTAGCAGGAGACTAAAAGTCTGGCAGGAGGAGGTGAAACTGTCAGTCTGTGCAGACGATTGTGTAGCCTCAATACCCAGGAGAATCCAAATCTACTACAACAGGAACTAGAGTTGATAGTGATGCTAACAGGAATAATGTACAACATGCAGACTGCAGTGGCCTCCGAATCAGTCAGAAGAGACCAAGACAATCACAGAGTTTATCTCTTGCTCTCTTAATGGCTCTAGGTCACTGGCAGCTCTGTCCCACATGGTCATCTGGGCCCAGGCTCTGGGGGCTCCACCACCTTCAACACGAGGCTTCCAAGACTGCCTGGCTGGTGCCTTTCAGGCAGGTGGGAGAGGGGGAAACTGGAAGTTTAGGGGAAGGGCTGTCCTCTACGGCAAGTAGGATGCAAGTTTGCAGCCCAGCGCAAGTGCTTACAGCTTGGGAGGATATGGATATATGATCCCCTTGTGTGTTCAGGAGCCAAGGAGAGGGGCCCAGCAGACCACCCCTCCACAGGAACACACAAAAGCAGAAGGTGTCTTGAAGGAGAGCGCAGATTGCAATAAGAAAGAGAAAATACCTAAACAAAAGCTTCAGAGGAAATAAAGCCTCTATGAGGAAACCACAGAACATCTTGAAAGATACAAAAGCAGAGCTGAACAAATGGAAAAACCCCGTGTGACCAGGCTGCAACCACCCCTTCCCTGAACACATGCCCTTAGTAACGTGCAGCTCCTCCTGCCAAGACATGGAGTCTACTCCCCACCCTTTTGAACCCAGGTTGACTTCAGGGCTCACCCTATCAATAGAATGTGGTGGGATTGGTGTCACAGGACTTCCAAGACAGTCTTTAGAGCGTTGCCACTCCCTTACACCCTTGTGGCCATCAGAGGTGGTGGCTTGGGCTAGTCTGACAGAAGGTGGTCCCACATGGAGCAGAAATGGACCAGAAATGGGCCATTCCACCTGAGGTTCTCCAGGCAGCTCTAGCTGACGACAGCCACTCCAATGACCCCAGGGGAAACCAGCAGAAGAACCATGTTGCTGAGCCCAACCCAAATTGCTGACCCACAGAATTGAGGGCCCCCCGACATGATGGTTGTTTTAAATTGATACATTTTGAGGTGGTTTGTTAGATAGTAATATGTAAATGATACATAAACCTAAATATATAACTGAATCCTAATTAAAATAGCAAAAGCTCCCCCCCAGCCCCAGAACTAGACATACTGATTCTATAGTTCATATGGAAAACTAAACAGGGAAGAAAAGCCAGGAAAATCATGAAAAAGAACAAGAAAATAGCCCTAAAATACACTACAACATCTAGAAAGCCTCAATAATTAAAACAGCACAGTACCGGCTTATCAGTAGACATGCAGACCAACAATTGAGACTAAAGAGTCAATGCTTCACTGACTAGGAGCAGCTGTCTGGGGCACCTCAGCACCTGGAGCAGGGTGTGGATCTGCAGCCACTGTTTGGGGACTTGGATCCCATGTGCATGAAGCACTGACTACACGTTCGTCAACAACACACATCTCACATGATCCATTCCATTTCTATTGTATTTATATTTCTATTGTATTTAGATACTGATAAAATAAATAAAATACAAAATTAAAACCGCTGCTAGGTTCATGAGAATCTTTTAGCATTGCCTGTTTTCTCAACCAATGGATTTAAAGGCATAATTATATGACATACCTAAAACCACTCCTCCAATTCCGGATAACAGAACCCCGCCTTTTGCAACATGCAAGTCACTGTGAGTTACCTACCTGCCACTACCCCCTTTGCTGGTAACAGAACCTCCTGCTATTATGGCAGCGCTCACCCTTGGATATGGGAGGGAAGCCCAGCCCCAGATCTAAGCCATAAAGGTAATCCCATCCCCTCTTTGAGCAAGTGATCCAGGGATGGGATGGGCATGTGCCCTGGGTCCAGCCAGGGAGAAGTCTGCGGGGGCTTTAAGGGAGGCTTTTGCTTTCCTAAGACAAGAAACAAATACCTCTGGTCATCACCTTTGTCGTTCTTCCCTCCCTCGGTGAGGAGGCAGTGTCTGAAGGTGCAGGAGCCACTGTGGGAGCGTGAAACCATAGGCGTGAGGACAGAAGACCAACACCGTTGGTAGAAGGTGGAAGGTCCCAGATCCCCTTAGGGTCTGGGGAGCAGCTGAGGTCACACCAGCAGCTGCCCTCTTCAAGAGGCGGGGAAGACAAGAGGTAACGGTGTTTAAATCACTATCTCTGTTACCTTTGGCCAAAAACACAGCTTACATCATCAACAGCTATTACTCTTACTCACGTGGGCCTGGCATAGAATACAGATGCTTGATCAATGTTTTCTAAGCGAATGGCTCGTATTCAATATACATTTGTGAGAAACAGCCAGCATAGGCTGGGCACGGTGGCTCATGCCTGTAATCCCAGCACTTTGGGAGGCCAAGGTGGGCAGATCACTTGAGGTCAGGAGCTTGAGACCATCATGGTGATGGTCTCACCAACATGGTGAAACCCCGTCTCTACTAAAAATACAAAAAATTAGCCGGGTGTGGTGGCAGGCGCCTATAATCCCAGCCACTCAGGAGGCTGAGGCAGGAGAATCACTTGAACCCGGGAGGCAGTTTTTTTTGAAACTCTGTCTCAAAAAAAAAAAAAAGAAAAGAAAAGAAACAGCAGCATGGCTTCTTAGTCCACACTGGTTACATGCCACCTCCGTTTACAGTTCCTGAAAGAACAACGTCACTCCTGAAAGAGTCCATGGAGCACTTCAGCAAACAATCTCATCTCAGAATCAAGGCCCCGACAGACACTGGACGGGCCCGAGATGGAAGTGACTTTGGACTCAGTGAAGAGGAGACTGCGACGTTTCCAGGCCTCGCTGGAGATGCCGGGGGCGTCACTCCAGCAGGTAGAGGCCAAACAGAAGCTCCGCTTGGGCAGCCCTGGTCGGCCTCTCTTATGAGACCCACACGGCTGCACGCTCTCCTGACTGCAGCTTTGGGCTGGATCAGTAGCCCCAGGGCCCCCAGGCCACTTCTGAAGAGGGCGAGAAGCTCCCCGCCAGGTACTGTCTCACCGGGAATCGGAACTAAAGACCAGGGTCCTAGAGTTATTTCCCCAAGTTGTGTCTGCCACTGCATCACTGCCAGTGTAAACTGCAAACCCTGGCAGGAAGAGGGCAGGGAGGAGGTGGAGCTGGGCAGGACGAGGGGAGGATGAGGGTGCTGGTGGCCCAGGATGGGAAGGCTGCTGGCCAAGGACCTCCAGCCCCCCACCCTCCCGTCACCTACCCCAGCTCTCTGAGCTCCAGAATTTGTCTCCTCTGGGGTGCTGTGATGGTCTCACTGGCCGGAGAGTGGTGATGTTGGGTGGGAGGTGGAGGGATGTGGAAAGCTCCCAGGGCCTGATGACTGCACAATGGACCTGTGACAAGTCTGCGGGCCTGCAGGACACAGCAGGCGCTTCCCATGCTAGGGCACAGCCATGCACCAGGGCAGAAGAGCATTCTCCAAGGGTGGCAGATTTGTGGGGACCACACTCCAAAACACACACACGCCCATGTACACACACACACATACATGCATGCACACATAAAACAGTCACAGCTAAGTTGACCTAGACATAATTTTCTTACAACGAACTACGCGTTATAATAACTACTTTTACTCTATAGAAACAGATGGATATTTGCTGCATACTTATTCATTAAACTGGTCATCAATGTCTCATGCACTTTTTTTTTTTTTTTTAAGAAGGAGTCTTGTTTTGTCCCCTAGGCTGGAATGCAGTGGCATGACCTCAGCTCACTGCAAACTCTGCCTCCTGGATTCAAGTGATTCTCCTGCCTCAGCCTCCCAAGTAGCTGGGATTACAGGTGCGGGCTACCACGCCTGGCTGATTTTTGTATTTTTAGTAGAGAAGGGATTTTGCCATGTTGGCCAGGCTGATCTCGAACTCTTGACCTCAGGTGACCCACCCACCTCGGCTTCCCAAAGTGCTGGGATTATAGGCGTGAGCCACTGTGCCTGGCCTCATGCACTTTTCATTATATTTTGCAATTTACAAAGTTATGTAGGAGGTGGAATTCTGGTTTCTGCTGGGGATGTACAGAGCTTGTCACTCCCACTCTCACAAGAATAAAGCCAGACAAACCGTAAGTTCTCGACTTTGCTTCATCCCATCAGAGACCTGAGGCTGCAGGACAACCAACTGGAAGCTGGGGAGAGACAGGGCCTGCAGGGGAATGGCATTGAGCCCTCCCGTCCCTGGGGCAGTCACGGGGCATCGTTGGTAAGAGGAGCTTGGCTGGAACCCCTGAGTCCTGGTGGAGGCTGAGTGTGTCTGGGCAGAGAGGGGAGTCCTGCGGGGACAAGGTGGAGGGCCCACCACCCTCCTGCTGGCTTCTCCTCGTGACCCCTGTCCAGCCCCCACCAGGTGCCCACAGGGCTGCCTGGGGATGAGTTCTGACAAAGCCACGCTCCTGTGCAAGCATGAGATGATGTAGGCATTCCACAATGTTCTAAACAAAGAGTGCCTGGACCTTAAAGGTGTACTCATTATTTACCGATTGAAATGCCACATCTGTCATTCTACAGGCACCCTGAGGCACGGACTTGAAAAAATGCATTGATTCAAGATGGAATAAACCGAGTAGGTTTCAGAACAGCCACCCTTGGCCTGGACAGTGCAAGAGCTGCAGAGTGTCACCTCACAGGGCCAGCGGCGACCCAAGACACGGGTGCCTGGAAAGGGGGCTCTCTGCGGGGACAGGGCTCAGAAAGGCTGGACCTGTCCTGAACCACAGAAACAGGGTTCCCTGAACCTCGGCCATCGTCTACCATTACGGCGCCCTGTCCAGATATAAAGTCAGAAAATCTCAGATGCACAAACATTTTGAAGTAAAAGATAGTTTCTAAACCATTACTCAAACCAATAAAACGTGAAGTGAAATGAAATGTGTAATGTGAATGAAAATGCTCCCCAATGTGCACAGTTCAGCCGAATTTTCTTTAGGGTGACAACTGTCAGGTGTGCGATGGGCTGTGTGTCTCTCCTGAAATCGCACACAGAACCCTCAAGCCTGGTAGCCAAGGTGCGACCCCGGGATGACCCTGGGACCCCGTAGGCCAAATCGCAGGCTTTTTACTTCCTGTCACCATAGTCCCCAGACTGGAAAACGGAGCTGGCTGGATGTGCACATATGCAAACCGCCACCTGCAGGGCCACCCATGCTGCCTCACCTTGTCATAGGTGCTGTTAAAACATGCACTAGCCCAGCAGATGCCTCCAAACTGTGGCTACGGCTCTGCCCTCCCTCTGGGCTTCTGAGAAAGGGTCCGACTTGCTGGCGTCAATCCCAGTGGTAGACCCCGAGGGACCCTTGCCTGCCGGAGCTGAGTCAGTGATGATGTCTCCAGGCGGGCTGGGGAGGGAAGCCCCTGAGGGCACGTGGCCCCCCCGCACCTGGACACCTCCCGCACTTGCTGTTCTAGAGGTAAGAGGTGATTCATGGAAAAGCGCTGACACTGCACATCTGAGCTTTTCCTCATTTCCTGGCACGGTGTATTGACCTCCTCCTGGGCTCCCTCTTTTCTTCTGCTTTCCCCAAATCCCCAAAAAGCTTAGATGAAACCCAAGTTTTGTTCTGGAATTTGTCCCTAATAATCCCACTGCACAGAGGCCGAGCACAGCCGTCCCCCTGCCTGCCTCCCGGCACATGCATCTCCTGTCTGAGGAACAAGGCTGGTTTTCTGTGCTTTTCTGGGGAACAAGCCTCTGTCTTTCTCCCCTGTCAATCAGTGCCACTTAGGAGGAGGGGCGGCCTTGCTGGCCTCCAGGATCTGCCCCGCGATGACTCCCGCGGCCTCCTCTCCAGGAAAGAGAGTGCCCTGGAGTACACAGGCAGCACCCAGGGACAGCAAGGCCAGCGCCTGCAGGCAGGGATGTACAGGCCACGCTGTTACCTTCCCTCTCTCTCTCTGCTCCAGATTCCAGGCACCCAGGGCCCACGGGGGAGGGACGTGTGGCCCCTGCCCAGCCGCAATGCAGGGCCAGCCCGGGAACCACTCAGCGGCCTCCTGGAGCCTGAAATAGCCATCGCTCCAGAGTGGCGAGGGCCGGGGCCTCCACTCAGCCTGCATTTCCGAGGTGGGGAGGGGCTGTGACATTTGGGGCACAGATTCTGCCACGTGGGTGAAATGCTGGGGCCCTAGCACACGTGGTGCTGTGGCTCGTTTCCATACTTGGCCCGAGAGGGAGGTGTGGCTCCTTAGAGAGGCGGCGCCTGAAGTGGATGCTGCTGTCCTGAGGGGGCCCAGGAGAACACCCAGCTCTGCCGGGACCCTTGCTTCCCGAGGCAGCCTCATGGAACCCTCCCGAAGCTGCCACCACTGGGCCCAGGCACTTGCCCCTCCACTCCAGGTGAAAGATGCGGCGGGAAAGTGGTTTAGGCGGCGGAACGTTCCCTCCCTGTCTCCCTCTCGCCCTGATTTTAAACACAGCGCAGGCTTCTGACCTTGCTGAAAACGCTCCGGCCTCTCCTGATGTGGTAATAAGCTGCCACTACTGCCATCGCCCACCCTACACCAACAGCACGCGGCCCGCCCCACCCCGACTCCAACCTCCCCTCCCGGGGGTGCAGCTGCAGCCCCCTTCCTCCGTGACACAGGCCGTGGCGGCTGAGGCCTGGCAGGCCAGGCGCAGGGAACCGAGGTGCCCCGGCAGACTCTCAGCGTGGCCTGGCGGCAGGAATGGCCGAAAGCTGAAGCTGAATGTGGAACTTGCTGACCCCTGAGGACTGGCTTTCTCTTGAGGGTTCTGGGAAATCGAGCCCCAGGAGGGTGAGGACTGCCTGCTCACCACTGTGCGTGCAGGGCTTAGCCAGTGCCTGGTATACAGTAGGTGATCGATAAAATCCTATGGGACGGCAGGAGGGAGGAAGGAGGTTTCTGGTTTACAAGTAGAAAATGATGTCCCGGGTGGGCGCAGTGGCTCACGCCTGTAATCCCAGCACTTTGGGAGGCCGAGGCAGGTGGATCACGAGGTCAGGAGATCGAGATCATCCTGGCTAACACGGTGAAACCCCGTCTCTATTAAAAATACAAAAAATTAGCCGGGCGTGGTGGCCGGCACCTGTAGTCCCAGCTACTCGGGAGGCTGAGGCAGGAGAATGGTGTGAACCTGGGAGACGGAGCTTGCAGTGAGCTGAGATCACTCCACTGCACTCCAGCCTGAGCGACAGAGCGAGACTCCATCCCGCCCCCCACCAAAAAAAAGAAAAAAAGAAAATGATGTCCCAGCATGACCATGCACCCTGGCCACCCAGCCCTGGGGAGCGGGCCTCCCTCCCTCTGCTGTGGAAATGCCAGATGAACAAGGCTCCGAGGCCTGTCTTCCTCCATCCCCAACAGGCAAGGGGCTCTGAGGGCTGCCAGGACGGCTTTTTCTCTGTATACAACACAGGTGACGGGAGACAGAACAGAGGTCCTGCCTTGTCTCCCTGAGCCCAGATGAGGCAATGGCACCGCCGTGCCACCCTCCTCCCGCCAAGTGAGCCACCGAAGGGGGCTAAAGACAAGACCCCACCTGACCACAGCAGCCCAGGGTGACCGCTGCACCCTAGGGTGACCGCGGGCAGGCGTGGCTGCAGGGCCAGGCACCCAGCTGCCACCTGTGGGGTTTTCTCAGCATTCGGAGCCCCTGCTGCCCATTAAGAACAGGTCTCTGAAGATGAACGAGAAGCTGCTCTTTTCATGTGGACCGAGCACAGAGGGTTCCTGGTCTAGAACCCCACGCTCAGAGAGTCACATACTGAACACCAGTGGCCACCGCAGGGGCGGGCGTCTCCAGGAAGAGCTGGCATTGTGGGCTCCCTGCTGTCCGTCGCCAGGTACCTGGGCACGTGTGGCGAATGCAGGGTAGGCAGAGGTGCTTCAGGAGCGCCTCGTGAAGGACGCCAGACTCCCAGGCTCCTGGTGAGTGGCCAGCCCGCCTTCCTGCTCTGGGAGGGAGCTGGCGAGGCCTCCCTGGACCCGTGGTGCCATCAATGCAGAATCGCTCCTATTACAGGCCTAGCACCCACCGTGACGCTCAACGTCTCTGTCCCCACAAAAAAACCAAGCCGCCTCTGTGGCCCTCCAGGTCAAACAGGATCAACAGGGACCTCACAAGCCCACAGGTTCCGGAAGCTCCCAGGTCGTACTGCAAGTGCCACTAAATGGCACCTGTGGGTACGCTGCCACGGCGCAGGCCACCACTTGAGGCCTCGAATTCCACAGCTAACTTACTGAAGACCTGAGGGCAAAGGAGAAATGCACATCCTTGGAAACGCTGTGGGTGAGGAGGTGGCACAGCCAGTCCCCTGCCACCTGGTCAGCAGGCTGAAGCTGAGAGGCTTGGCATAAGCCAATTACGAGCAGCTGCTCAGGCGCAATGCGGCACTCTTCCCAGACAGAGGCGCTCTTTTCCCAACACCTAATAGGTCTTTCATCATTTTGAGCATTTGTGAAACTGCATAGCTCAGCCACGAATCCCAGGAAATGATTTGATACCCTTTCTCCGCCCAGGCGCCAGGAACGGTCCGTGGAAGCTGCCAGAGTCGCCCGCTCGCTGGGGCCAGCCTGCCCTGTATACATGGCCCCCGTCACACTCGCGGTAGCCCCAGGTTGAGGATGAGTGAGCGGTTGCTCCTGGGGTTTTGGAACCCTCACCAATGACCGACCCCCTTGCTCAAACTCTCAGAGGCCCCAAATCCCAAGCTAATTTGTCTCCTAAATTCCACACTTAGGTTCTGTTTGTTTTTTAGAGATGGGGTCTCGCTCTGTTGCCCAGGCTGGAGTGCAGTGGCGTAATCACAGCTCACTGTGGCCTTGACCTCCTGAGCTCAAGGGATCCTCCTGCCTCAGCCTTAGGATTCTGTCTTTTGGCTCTGGGTAAACCTCTTTGTAAATAGTATTGATCGTTTTTACATAAACTGAGTCATGGGGAAGACTGGGCATCCTCCTGCCTGTGTCACCTGCAGTGACCCTCCCCGCTGTTAGCAATGGAAGTGCATTAATCGGATCTATAGAAGAGAAAGCTTCCAGATCAGAGAGAAGCAGCTCCTGGCCAAGTGTGCACCAAGAAAAACAAACACAGTCTAGCGTGGAACCTCCAGGGGAGCTGTGGTCTCTTCCTAGGAAATCACCTCGTTCTCCGGCTCTAGAAAATAAAGTTGGCACCCAGACTTGGGGTTTTTGGGTCCCCCCAGCTGCCCCCTGCACCACCTGGTACCATCATCACACACCCCATGGACAGAGGCTGGCACGCATCTTGTGCCCTTTGACCCTCTGCAGAAACAGCAGGCGGCATCAGTGTCCCGTTTTACCAACGAGCACTGGAGGCCTGGAGCACAAACACCCCATCTAATCCCAGCCCGGAGACACAGCGGGGTTGGGACCGAGTCTCTGAAATCCTAGGCCAGCGTGATCTGTGACACCTGCTGATTCTCGGCTTCTGCAGTAAGAGCCGGCACGGACTCTGGTCAAGGGCAGCTGGGAAATCGCCTGCGATCACCATAAACCAGCCCATCAGGCAATGGGTGTGACAGAGCAGCGCCACTTTGATGGTAACTACGCATTTTCTGCTCAGGGTGCAGATCACCATGTAAATCAGCCATCCTACAGCACCTGCCTTGGGGGGCAGTGGGAGTCTGTGCCCATACATCAGGCACTTGTCCGTCCCAGGACATGCCAGGCATCTACAAACACCGCCCAGATGGTATGAAACCGCTCAGCTCCTTCAGGAATGTTCTGAACAAAAACCCCTTTGCAGAAGGATGGGAGAGCTGCCCAAGGACCCCAGGAGGGATCAGAATGAGTTCCTGCCATCCCCTGCTTCCCTACCTCCCAGGAGTTCCCCTGCAAAGGGCTAGGCAGGGTTTGTTGACATGCAGAGAACGGTCCAGGGCTGGAAGAGGAGGGGAGCACACAGTAAAGGCCCCCAGGACTGCCCAGGCCCCCGGGCCCCGGCCTCACTCACCAGTAGAAGTAATAGGCCAAAGCCACCGCCAGCAGGGCCACACAGATCCCTGAGAAGAGGCAGGCCGGGTAGCTGCTCAGCATCTTCAGCCCTCGGTCCTGTGCTGCCTGAAGCCGGCGAGAAGGACCTGCGGGGAGCAGGTGTCAGCCTGGCCAAAGGGTGAGGAGCCGAGCTCAAGCGGAGGGATTAGGACCTGGCCTGAGCTGCCCAGGCTTGGCAGGGGCCGTTGCCACCCAGAGCATCTGCTCAGCAGGAAGTGGGTGCTGGGCACCCCCAGGGTGCCACCTGCGTGGCCAGCACTGTCCTTCTAGTCACAGAGACCAACTCAAGGGACCCCAGGAGCGCGCTGAAGCAGGACATACACACAGGTTCGTCCTCCTGCGCACAGCTGCGGGCTCTGCCGTCGGGGCACCGGCTAATCCAATAAGCAGCTTTTGGCCAGGAGCTGCTCACTGTAAACAGGCAGAGTCACAGGGCCAGCCAGGATGCAGGTCAACGAGCCCCACCCCAGCACAGACCCCTAGGACCAGGGACCTAAGAGTGCCCACATCTTCCTCCTCACAGCACCAGTGTGTCAAGGGGCCAGGTTGTGGGTGAGTTGGTGAGGTCTACCCTGTGCTCAGCCGTGGGCTAGCAAGATCCCTGAAAGGCCTCCAAGTGATAGGCAAACGTCCTGCATGTGGGGCATGGCTGTGGGCTCAACAGAGAACAGCCACCCAGCCTGCCGGACAGGCCAGGCGCCCGCGACACTCTCTCCAAACTGCAGCAAGGTTTGCTAAACGGTGGTGCTCCGGGTCCCATGTTCAGAGCTCCCACGCTGGAAGAGCTGTGGGGTGGGCCGCCTCTTATCCTCCAGAAGTCAGGCACGTCCCTCCATGTCACTCCAGCCTGAAACCTCTCAATCTGAAATGGAGTTCAAAGGCTAAACTAGGGAGATGAGATCAAAGGACCCAGGGACCAGAGCATCGCCCTGGGAAACCTCCTGGGGCGCGGGAGGCCCCCGACAACAACAGCGACGGGGGTGGGGTGTTATCAAGGGAGCGCCCGCTAGAGGCCCTCGACAGCACACGGGGACGGGGATGGGGTGTTCCTAAGGGAGCGCCCCCTGGAGGCCCGGCCAGTGCATTCTCGCTCAGGGTCACGGGGCCACAGTGGGATAAAGTGAAAGTCACTGCTCGTGCATCTCCCACGGCATCAGACACAACGAACCTGTCCCCAGCAGGGTTTGCCCAGGATGCTCCCCTAGCCTGGTCGCAGCCCCGTCCCAGCCCTGGTGCGGCCCCTGCGTGCTCTGTGGGAAACTGTGGACTGAGAGGTGGGAACCGCTCAGCTCAGTCCTGACATGCTCAGCCTTTACTTCTGTGAACCTGTGAACCTGGTGGAGGAGAGAGCGTGATGGGGCAGCCGCAGCCTTCCCAGGCCTGGGGGAGCCCCTCCTTCCCCCCACAAGGCTTCAGGTGACTGCATCCCCGGCCAACACATTGACCCCATGTGACTCCACGTGACACCCAGAATCGCCCGCTAAGCCACTCCTGGATTCCTGACCCTCCGCAGCTGTGTGAGATAATAGATGTCTGCTGTTTTCGCTGCTAAGTTTGTGGGTAACTCGTTACACAGCAATGTAACAAACACGGTAAGGCAACCAGGCAGATCAATATGAGGCGCACCATTTACTGGAAGTATTGGATGACTATTTATAGGGCTGGAGTTAGTGTCTGAACAAAATAGAAGATTTGCAGGCCGGGCACGGTGGCTCACACCTGTAATCCCAGCACTGTGGGAGGCCGAGGCTGGTGGATCACCTGAGGTCAGGAGTTTGAGACCAGCCTGGCCAACATGGTGAAACCCTGTCTCTATTAAAAATACAAAAAATTAGCATGCCTGTAATCCCAGCTTCTCAGGAGGCTGAGGCAGGAGAATCGCTTGAACTCGGGAGGCAGAGGTTACAGTGAGCACTCCAGCCTGGGCAACAAGAGCAAGACTCTGTCTCAAAAAAAAAAAAAAAAAAAAAAAAAGATTTGCAGATTCAAGAATTCTGACTTCTAATCCTCAGTACGTTCCTCAGTACGTTCCTTCTATCCCAATGAGCGATGTTAACTAACTTAGCTCTCTAGCGTAACATGCACATCATGGAACCAAGACATTCATTTAATCCTGTTAGCAGCCCAAGAAACCCAACAGTGAGTGTGAGTGTGTGTGTGTGTGTGTGTGTGTCTGTGTGTGTGTGAGAGAGAGAGAGAGAGAGAAAGTGGGGGAGAGAGGAGAAATGCAGCCCTCCCACCAGACAACAGCAAGCGTGTGAGCTGCTTCCTCCTCCCTCTGCAGCGAGGACCCAGACAACTTCCTTGGTCCAGCACTGTCTGCACAGTCACCCCAAAATATGCAAATATGACTGGCTGCCCACACAACCTCTGCCTGGCACTTCTTCTAACAAGAACCTGCCTGAGGTATAGAAGGCAATGGCTATGCAGAAGTCATCTGGTTTCATGGGATGCGTCCTAATGACTGCCTTAGAGATAGTTAATGAGAGAGAGAAAGGAGTCTTTTGGAGCTTCCAGAAAGGTTTCAGCCCCTGACAAAAGGTTGCAAAAAGAAATTTCCCTTTTCCTGTCCAGGCATGGTGGCTCACGCCTGTAATTCCAGCACTTTCGGAGGCAGGAGGATCACCTGAACACAGGAGTTCAAGGCTGCAGTGAGCCACGATTGCGCCACTGCACTTAAGCCTTAGTGACAGAGGGAGACCCTGTCTCCAGAAAAACAAAACAAAACAAAAAAAACTCCCTTTTCCTGACATCAGACTTATCTGTATCAAGTTGTGATGGCTGGTGCAGAGGCAGCCACGATGTCACCTCAAGGAGACAGGCCTGCAGTGGAAAGCAACCTAGAGGGTGGCCCAGAGGAGGAACAGATATAGTCAGGGGCCTTGCGCGCCTCCGCCAAGCCAAGCAAAGGCCAGCGTAGAGGAGCTGACCCCTGGGGCTTCCCACCTAGGTCAGCTCAAGGCAGATTCTGCTACTTTCAGCTCAATTCACCAGCGCCCCACCCAGTGGGCCTTTGGGACTCACACATATCTAGGGACCAACTTCTTATCTACATGCTTTGCATTTCCCAAAATCCAAAAGTCACTCATGGGTACCCCTGTGATAACAGCAAGCCTGAGTTTTCTCCAGGGCCACAGGAAGCCACAGGGTCAACGTTCCCCCACCCAGGAGTGCCAGCCCCACTCAGGTTTGCAGGCGGGGTGTTCTTTTATCTTAAAGCAAACATGGCTACCATTCAGAACAGTACGTGAATGGAGAATTCCTTTTAAAAACAAAACCAAAGATTTCTATTAGAGAAAAATACTTGGGGGAACCAGCATCCCAGGGACCCACAGCCTACTTCTAAATATGTCATTTTTTTAAGAGGAAAAAAGCTTGTTCACATCTTGAAGATTTTAACAAATTTTAGGGCAAGGAAACAGGCCGTGCAGTTGCAAATACACAGGGAAGCCCTTTTCGCTGAGGCACAGAGGCCTGGGAGCCGCTTTAGGCGGAGCTGACACGGGAGAGCCAGGCTGGCGCCAGGCATGGCTCCACTCAGAAGCACTAGGCCTCTGCGCCTCCATCCAAGAGCTGCGGTCGGGAAAAGGAAAGGATGTCTTGTTTTTGCCAAGGTATCTGAAGTCTCTGTGGGCAGCAGTCGGGTGAGCTTTTCGGCTGTGATAGAACAGAAGTATTATAGGGGCAGAGCTCATTCACGAGCAGGTCTTTCAACACAGGCATTACCGGCGTGCCACCTGATTCTCTCACTGTGTCTTCCTCTGCCGGAGAAATCCTTGTACATGAGGAGACAACTAAAACTTGCAGCTTTGACTCCCAGGCCATTCTTCCGGAGGGAGGCACTGTGGCCGTGTGCCAGGAGGGCAGAGGCACTGGCCCCACGGAGGACAGCAGTCTGCTCTCAGACAGACGAACGCTGCAGGTGCACCCACAGAAAAGTCCACAGCCCCCGGTAAACAATGCCGTGCTCGCCACTGCTAGGGGAGGCTGAGGAACCCGGCTGGGGTTGGAGGCCTGGTGCCAGCCTGGTGTGACGTCAGGCACAAGGGGCTGGGGCTGCATTGTCCTCCCCTCTCCCTGCTTTTGCTTCAGTCCTGGACTCTTTGGGCTGCAGAGCTGGGGTCCTGGCAGGTCACTTGACTTCTCTGGCCTTGGCTCCCCCTCTTTGAAGTGAGCAGATTGACCACCACGGCTGTCCCCAGGGGTGCCCGAGCTGCAGGTGTGGGGGCCAGGGCTGCGGCATGTGAGCCTTCCGTGTGACCCTGCAGTGGGGCCTAGGCCTTGCTTAGGAACAGCTGGGCGGGCTCCGCTACTGTTCTACACTCTGGCTTCCGACTCGAGCCGCCATCAGGGAAAAAGCCTGGCATGATCTGTTTGCTTAGCGCACCTGGAGAGCCAGGGCACTGCCCCAAGCCCCGAGCCCTGGCTGAGGCTTCTCCACTCCTTAATCTCCAGAGTAGCTGAGGTGCTGTGGGCCTGAGTCTGAGCTCCTCCGTGGCCGCCTGTGATGATGAAGCCAGGTTGTCCTTCCTGCCCCACGCCTGGGTCACTGCCTTTCTCGTGATAAGGAAAAAAAAAAATCCCTTCCTGGGAGAGTCGTTCCCTTTCCATGTCTGAATAACAGACTCCCCAAATGCCAGGCAGACCCAGCCCTGAGGCCCCAGAATGCCCCTACCGAGCAGTGAGCATCTGTGGGCCCGGCCTCAGGTCTCTCCGAGCTCCGCAGCAGCGCCGATGCCCAGTACTGCGTGCAGAGGCCGCCCTGCAGGCCGCTCCTGGACTTGACCTCTAAGGCCACTTCTCACTGTAAAAACTGTGGGGACATTGTGGGGCCTATGCTGGCCCTGCCCTCCTCCTGAACGGCTTCATGCCTGCCAGGGCCAGGCGCCTGGGGGCACTCCCAGCTGGGGACCCCGGCTCAGCCTCCCCGGGGCTGGAGAGAGGCGGGATCTGGGTGCTGCTACTGGAGGGTGCTGCCCCTGGGTCCCAGCTCTGACATTTGCTCTTGTGGTGTGTCCTGAGCCTGCCTCCTGCTCCCTCACCACGCAAGGCCACCACACGGCCCAGTGTGTGACACAACCGATGCCCGCACAGCAAAGCGTGCTAGCGCGGCACGGCACTTTGGTGACTTGGCTGAGCTCTCCAGAATTGCCAGGTGCTCCCCACTGCTTCCTCACGCTCTCAGGTGAGAAGCCCCCCCTGTCCAGCCTCCACACTGGTTCTGTGTGTGGCATGTGAGTGGTGTGGGTGGCGTGGGTGGTGGACGGCACATGGGTGGCATGGGTAGTAGCGTGGGTGGCGTAAGTGGCGTGGTGGCGTGTCAATGGCATGTGAGTGGCATGTGAGTGGCGTGGGTGACATGTGAGGGGCAGAGGTGGTGTGGGTGGCATGGGTGGCATGTGAGTGGCGTGGGTGGCGTGTCAATGGCATGTGAGTGGCATGTGAGTGGCGTCGGTGACGTGAGGGGTAGAGGTGGTGTGGGTGGCATGGGTGGCGTGTGAGTGGCGTGGGTGGCGTGATGTGATATGGCAGCACGTGGGTGGCATGGCGTGGCTTGCTTTGTGCTGTGGCTCCTCCACCATGGGCACGTGGCCTCCTCGTGCTCCCAGCTATCTGAATGTCATCCTGCTCACGACCAGGGCTTGAGCCCGCCCCTCCACAGGTTCCCGCTGTCCCCTCCTCCGCCCCATCACCATCGCACACCTCCTAGTCTTACCTTCTGGTTACCCCACGGGGCCTAAAGGAAACAGTTCTTTTCTTCCAGGTCCTTTCCCGTCTCTGACACCTAAGCCATGCTGCCTGTATAACATCCTAGTGGAGGCCCAGCCTCCTGACTCTACCAACGAGGTTGCGCTGCCACGCAGGCCAGGGCCAGGCAGCCGACGGCCTGGGGACTTGCGGAGCCTCTGTGGCCTCTTATGAAGTCACCATCTCTGAGCATGGGCACAGTGAAGGAAGACGAGGCCTGGAGGCCCCTCCTTCCGCCCTTGGGAGGTGGGGACAGGCACACCGCGGTGAGAGGGCTGGTGTGTGGGAGCTGGTCCTTGGGGGGCTGGCGTGCTCAGGGAGCTGGTTCTCAGGGGACTGGCATATGGGAGCTGGTGCTCGGCAGGGGAGCTGGTGCTCGGGGAGCTGGCGTGCCGGGCACCCATGTCTGCCTGTTCTCCAGCATCCAGGTCTCAAAACCTCATCACCCAAACTACCAAGGATGAGCAATGTAGGGCAGACACCTGCTCCACTGCCCCTGCCCTGGTACGGCATTCGGCAGCTGGCCATGACTGAGAAAGGAAGCGGCACACCAGGTGTGGCCAGTCCACACAGTGACAGCACATGGGGACCCCAGGCTGTTCCAGACCAAGGGCCTCCTCTCGTGCACCCACAGACCCCGTCCTGCTGCTCAGTTCTAACCCTCTGGCGTTTCCATGCCACTGTCCACTCTCCACGTGAGGCTCGTGGCAGGCGCGGGAGTGCCGTCCTCTGGCTCTTGCAGCTGGTGCTTGGGCCTGTGCTTGGATGGAGGCCGCCGGGGCCTCTGGGCATCTGGTATGCGGCGTCCTTCTCTCCTGACTCTCCCCTCACCTTTCCCCTGTGCTGCCCCTCCCACATTTGCTGCTACATGCCGAGACTACTGGAGCCTAACCCCAGTGCCAACCGCTTCCAAGCTGTGCCTCAGTTTCCTCAACCATAAAGAAAGAATAAAAACACATGGACGCCAGCAGGCTATGGAGAACCAAAGACCCCCGGGGCGCACTGAGAACAATGCTGGGCATGGAAAATGTCAAGAAGCAGCCAGGAGTATGATGACATCATCGATATTCCCAAACCTTTCCCCATGGAGAAAACAGATGGCAGAGCTTTAAAAAAGATACACGACAAAAGCAAACATAGACCACTGGGATTACGGCAAACTAAACAGCTTCTGCATGACAAAGGGAACGACAGGGTAAAGAGACGACCCGCAAGGGAGAGAAAACCCTGCAGACCACATGCCCGATGCAGGCCCAGCATCCACAGGGTAAAGGGGCTCAGACTCAATAGCAAGAAAGCAAACAGCAAAGGACCCGAACGGCTGTGCCTCAGAAGGAGCCACACCGACAGCCAGCAGGTTAACGAAGAGCTGTTCGGCATTATTAACCATCAGGGAGAAGCAAATCGAAGCCACAGGGAGGTGTCATTTCATGCCGTTCAGTTGGCTATTATCAAAAAGACGAATGTAACAGGTGTTGACGAGAACGCAGAGAAAAGGCACCTGGCACGCTGTGAGGGAGAGAGAGCGTCAATCAGTGTGGCCACTACACAAACCATCTGGAGGTGCCTCCAAAAGTCAAAAATGGAACTACTGGCCCAGGGCGGTGGCTCACACCTGTAATCCCAGCACTTTGGGAGGCCAAGGCGGGTGGATCACTTGAGGTCAGGAGTTCGAGACCAGTCTGGCCAACATGGTGAAACCCCATCTCTACTAAACATACAAAATTAGCCCGGCATGGTGGCGGGCGTCTGTAATCCCAGCTACTCGGGAGGCTGAAGCAAAAGAATCGCTTGAACCCAAGAGGCGGAGCTTGCAGTGAGCCGAGACCGTGCCATCGCACTCCAGCCTGGGCGACAGAGCAAGACTCCGTCTCAAGAAAACAAAAGGAACTACCATAAGGTCCGGCAATCCCACTTCTGGGTATGTATCTAAAGGAACTGAAATCAGTGTGTCAAATAGACACCGGCACGCCCATGTTCACTGCAGCATCACCCCCAACAGCCACACGATGGAGGCAGCCCAGGTGCCCACCAACAGACGAATGGATAGCGAGCGTGCGGTGCGTAACGCCGTGTTATTATTCAGCCATAAGGAAGAAGGAAGTCCTGTCACTGGCAACATCACAGACAAACGTGGTAGACCCGACACTAAGTGGATAATCAGCCAGTCACAGAACGACAAGTCCTGCACGACCTCACTCACACGAGGAATCGGAAACGGAGGTCTCACCAGAACTGGGAGGAGCACGGTGGTTACCAGGGGCTGGGGGCTTGGGCAAGGACGGGCAGGGGAGGTGCTGATCAAAGGGAGCAGTTTCAGTTAGACTGGAGGGACGTGTTCGTGATCGGCCGCGCTGCGTGGCGACCAGTTAACAATAACGTATCATGTTTCAAAATCAGGGAAAGAATAGATTTTTAACATCCACACCACCAAAAACGATGTTGGTGAGCTGATAGCTATGTTAATTAGCTTAATTAATCTTTCTACAATGTACACATAGATCACATGGTACTCCATATACACAATCATATTTTGTCAATTATAGATAGATGACAAATAGGTAGTAGGTAGGTAGACACACACACACACACACACACACACACACACACACACACACACGAGATCCTCTTCAGGTAAAAAGCAGAACGGAAACAAAACCTCAACCTGTATGGAACATTGAGATAGCTGGAGCTTTTCATCATGCTCTTTACAGCAAACCTAGAATGTTTAGAATCATGGTTTTACTTATTTTGAAATAATGGATTTTGGCATAAGACCTCTGCCAAAATCCCCTTCTGGTGGTGTTTCTGATGAACGGGAGCTGCACTGTCTGAATACTGACGACAGTGCCGGTGGCTGGGGATGCTCAGTGTCAATCAAAGCTGAAGCACGCGGCAGTTCTCTGCCTGGGAGTCGCACTAACGGGGCCGATGTGGCGTCCTACTCCACGTCGCTCTTCGGTTTTTACCTCCACATCTCTTTTTCAAGGTTAAGAAGAACAAAGCTCATCTGAACATATCGCCCAAACAAATGTCATAGGAATATAATATCTCCTGATTATTTCCCTGGACATGAAAACTTAATGATTTATTCAAAAATATTAAAAGAGAAGAACCGAGTATGTTGATTCAATTTCCTGGAGGCCTCCTCAGAGCTACAACATAAAATAGAGTGTTTTTAGGATGTCAATAAAATCTTTCTTCAGATAAACCCCATGAAGATTCCACATTTCCTTTCTCATGCCAGTGACCGAGCGAAACTCCAGGTGTGATTAACCTCCCTCACCCCAGCAGTGGGACGTCACTAGCACCAGATGCGGGGAACGTGGGAGGTCCAGCACACAGGTGTCAGTGTGACATCATTTCTAAAAGGTCTCTGTTTCCCTCACTGACACTCCCCCTCATCCAGTGTCCGCCCTGACCCCGGGTCTGGACAAGAAAACTGACCTGGAGAGCAGTTGGGCTGTCCAGTCACGGGGCCCTCGAGAAAAGGCAATGGCAAACCCACCCCAGGGCCCCACGCTGAGTCCCTGATGAGCCTCAGACGTGCGTTCACCCCCACTCTAGAGCCCCCACAGCCCCTGCCCCAGGATCTCACGTAGTGGGGGCCATAAAAAC
The DNA here is from genome assembly GCF_000001405.40 of Homo sapiens. Lineage (NCBI taxonomy): Eukaryota > Metazoa > Chordata > Mammalia > Primates > Hominidae > Homo > Homo sapiens. The sequence continues at coordinate 43,930,924 of NC_000021.9, read as the reverse complement.
AATCTGTAATGCGGAACAGGAACATGCAGGAAGGAAGTGGCGCCCGCCCGAGGGGACAGGGCAGCAGGCCCCTTGCGTTTGTCACCAGCAGCTTGAGGACCGCACACTGGCCTGCCGTGGGCCACCCCGGCCACCGTGAGGAGCCACCTCCTGCCACCCCAGGAGGGGACACTGGCCCTACAGCAGCCCCCTGGGAATGTGCCAGCAAGCCCTGCTTCCCTCTGCTCCCCTCAGCCCAGGTGTGCACCCCCACCTCATCCCCGCCTTCCCCTCATCCCGACAGAAACACCCACCCACCCTCACCCCGCCAGGCCTGCCCACTGTGGACACCCACAATCAGGAGCTGCAGCCTCTGAGTTCACGGGGCAGAGCTTGCTGTCCCCAAGGTCTGAGAGAGGCCCAGAGAACAGGGACAGTAAGAAAGATGATGTTGCTGAGACACACCACAGCGAGGTCCCATGGGCCACGCTGAGGTCGCACGGGCAACCCTGAGGTCACACTCAGTGGCAGGTGCTTTACACAAATGATCCCTCAGCGCTCAGCACAGCTCTGCCCCGCTAGCTCCACTGCCTCTGAAAATAATCCTGCCCAGGACCACAAAGTCACTGGCAGGCCCAGGACAGGGAACCGGGCTGCATTGGTATTGGCACCAGAGCCCCCTACCCCACCGTGCGGCGTCTCTGCCCTGAGACCTCCCACAACTGTGTCCCCGGGGGCAGGGAACCGTGGAAGGGGAACCCAACTTCTCTCTGCCTTAGACTCTCCGTGGAGTGACGGTTGATAACTCTATTCCCCACTTTCTTCAAAGACACTGTGGATTCGTGACTTCCTGAACGTGAAAACGGGGCTGGATGATGTACACAGAAGTGCCAGGACAAGGCACCCTGGGTTCCAGGAGGACAGTCACTCAAGTCCTCTCTCTCCGGCACGCCTGGGCTGTCGGTGCTCCAGAGAACGCGTCTGTCACCTGCAGCCCAGTGTCCGCTGCATTTATGAGGTTAATGAGACACTGTGAGCTCGCTGGGAGCGCCATCTCACCAACCTGTCTACCTGGATTTAGCTCGGCA